>NC_000011.10:37332727-37484242 GCF_000001405.40 Homo sapiens
TCCTATGACTCAGAACTTGGGTTTCCTGCTAAATCGTTACTTCTTGAGTATCTGGGTATTTAGTGGTATCAGTAGATAAGCATGATTTTTGTATGTGTGTATCTTTTTCTGACTTCGTTGTGGTAGGGCTATTGTCGTTGTACAGTTGTTTGTTTATTTATTTTGACCAAGGGAAGCGGTTTTTGTTGCTGTATTGTTTCTTTGTTTTAGAGACAAGGAGGGTAGAAGAACACCTCTTGTTTCCCTTACCTGGCCCCAGGTCCTTCAGTTTCTGCCTCTACATTTCAGTCCTTCAAGAAGAAGGGTAGAGGCAGAAACTGAAGTAACTGGTCTTATACAAAATTTTATGAGAAGTGTAAGAAACAGTGCTATTCGAGTGCCCTTAGAAGCACCAAGAATCACCACCTCAGGCAGAGCATTGCTTTCCCAGGCAATTAGCTGGGGTGGCCAACTCAGCAGAACCATGGTAGAAAACCAAAGCTGCTCAGTGAGCGCTGAAATGCCCGGTGGGCACAGCGGATTTCCAGTGGAGACCTAGCAAAACAGCGTAGTACCCAGATGGCATAGATTCATCATGACCACACATGCAAAATCCTCTGGGGACTATAGGAAATATTTGATAGTGAAGAATATGTTTGCAGTCAGGCATTTTGGGTGAGAAAATGAGGGCCAGAACTGAGCTGGGATAATTTGTGATGCCCTTCTAGCTATAGACTCCCTTGAAGTCACTTCCAGTGATAAGAGCTAATTTTATGTTGCTTATTTTGCCCACAGGTTATCACCAAAAACCATCACCAACTGTCACATTAGGCAGTCCCTACAAGGAGAGCATTGCCTTCTGGCGTATTGTGACAAGCTTATCTGCATGCATGCACAAGTTCATATAGGACTGACATTTTTGAAAGAACACCACAGCTTGAGAAATAGAAAGAAGCTTTAGATCATCCAATCCAGGTGATTTTCACACAAAGTTTGGCTGGAAAACTTCTTAGTGAAGATGCTTTTCTACTCAATGTACATTTACTGAGCACATACACATATGTAAATACAGATATGAATAGAATATAGTGCTTATCTTAGAAATGATTCTGTTTATTAAAGGCATCTCTTTCTCTCACTCTGTCAAACAGACACATGTGTGCGCGCGCGCGCACACACACACACACACACATGCGTGTACATGCACCCCACAATGCTCCTTGAATTTATAAATAAAAGGGAGCTATATAATGGGCACACGGGTGAAGGTGGGGAAGAATGAGAAAAGTGTTGCAGGGGAAATGTGAAAAGGAAAGGTTTTCTAGTAACACATATTACTTGACCTGGTATCTGAGGCATGAAAAAATATTTCAAAGACAGAAATTTAAAAAGAAGTTGTTCCAGGCATGAGAGTGGTATGAACAAAGGCGGAAGCTTGAAAACATAAAAAATCAGAGAAAATAAATATAGGCCACAATTTACAGACTTAAAGTTCTACTTTAAGGACAGCGTGGGTCCATTTTGAAAGGATATTGATAGTGAAAGCTGTGCTTTGGGGAGATTGTTCTGGTGACTGAGGGCCCTTTGCTGGGTAAAGACAGAATTAGAAGAGGAAACGACATTTGTGATGGAAGCATCACCCAATTTTCTCTCTACACAACCCTGTAGTGGGTCCTGGGGTGACTTTACAGAAACCAGAGGGTTCCACAGACAGGATTTAAAAGGTTTTTATTTTTTTTAGTCCATATAAGTCCATCTCTCACATTTCACAACTGAAGGAACCACAGCTTGGAGTTCATTAATAATTTGAACAAGATCATACAACAATCTATTCTTGGGATTTTGCTTCATAGCACTCAGCTATAGATTGGTAGCTGTAAACTGCCTCAAGGCATTTTCTCCTGATTACTTCACACCTTAGTGATTTGCTTTTCCTGGAAATAGTCTCAGTTTTTCTTGTAATTACCAGTTCCTTAAGAAAAACAGAGTTCATTAGATTTCATGGACATTAGCAGACAAGCAAGTATCTATTGCAATGTATGTGTATTCTTGATCACTATTATATTTATTGCCATTGTTATTATCATTCGAAGTGATCAAAATTGTGTGTTTTCAGAGTCATGAAGTGTCTTGACATTTAATTTTTAAGAATTTCATTTAAGATCCAAAAGTTGCAATTGCATAGTCTAGGAGACATTTAGATGTTAACAACTCCTTTTAGAATGAAACACATGGTAATAACCTATTTATATCGAAGATAAATGCCAAATTACAACATGATGTATCTTTATTAGCATTTTAAATTTTCTTCTTAAACATTAGAAAGGCATGTAGTTTCCTTCATTAACATTTTACCCAAAAGTAATCCATGAACTAGCAGCTTCTATAGTCCTGGCAATGCAGCTACAGGATCCTACCTTGATTCAGGTTAGGAAGGTATGGAAGAGGCTGATATGAACAGGAGCATTCCTGATTTTACTGGCTATTGCTTCAGCCTCCTTTTTATTTTTTAGTTCTCTTCCCTTTAAACATGTTGCCCAGATGAGATGATGGTCAGAACTCCCCAAGAATGTTTCAGTGCTTAATTGGGAGTACTGGAGATATTATTCATTAAATGGAAATATTAAGAGGCTTATTGTTACACTTAACATTTAATAGTGGTTATTGCTGGGTAGGAGAATAAAAGCTTGCTGATATGGTTTGTCTGTGTCCCCACCCAAATCTCATCTTGAATTGTAGTTCCCATAATCCCCATGTGTTGTGGGATGGACCCAGTGGGAGGTAATTGATTCATGGGGGCGGCTACCGTCATGCTGTTCTCATGATAGTGAGTGAGTTCTCATGAGATCTGATGGTTTGATGATAGGCTTTCCTGCTCCTTCACTCTGCACTTCTCCTTCCAGCTACCATGTGAAGACGTGTTTGCTTCCCCTTCTGCCATGATTGTAAGTTTCCTGAGGCCTCCCCAGAACTGCAGAACTGTGAGTCAATTAAACCTCTTTAATTTATAAATTATCCAGTCTTGGATATGTCTTTATTAGCAATGTGAGAATGGACTAATATGCTTGTTTCAATAGTTTCATTGTAATTAACTGCATTAGGAAAAACTGGAAGCCAGGTAGCTACTTGTTGTATGTATAAGCAATTGAATCAGCTCATCTTCAATTTTCATTCCCCACAGAGATCCTAAGAGTTTATCTTGGGTTTTTGGTGACTCACTATTATCCCTTCAGCTCTCCTTTCCTTTAGATTTCTGCCTCTGCTCTCTCAACCTCAAAACCTATTTAAGCTGATTTTTCAACACACTTTTACTCCTGGCTGGCAGACATTTAGATAATTAAATGAACATTATCTTTACAGAAGTATCATTTGAGGAAGATACTTATAATTTAAAAGTGAAGTTTTGTGGTTAAGATGCTTTCAAGACCCCAAAGAAAAAATCCTACAGAGCCAATAAGAGTTTTGTGAAACAGAGAGAGAGACTTTATGGAGGGCCTTTAATGGTATGCCTCATCCCATGTATAGCCATCTTCCTGTCTAGTAGGTTAATTGTACAACAAAGAATGAAACTGAACCATGATTTCCTTTTGATGCCTCGTTACGTATTTTTTTCTTTAGCTGAGTCTTCACTTTTATACAGAGCCAGGTGTTGTAGAGTGTTGAAGTAACAAATCAACCCATTTGAGCTTTTGAAGGTACCAATTTGCCTTTGGATATCTTTAATCTGGCTGTATATATACCCTTTTCAAAGCATTTCTGCACTTAAACACTATCCAAAACAACATGTGGCAGTTTCTCTAATTACTTATGATTAAGAAAAAAGCAAATTCAGGCCCTCAAGGCATCCACACTTTGCTATTCTGCTGGAGAAATGAATGCTGCAAAGCAAAGCAGCTTGAAAATTAATGCGCGGCACAACACAAAACAGCAGTTTGTGATTGCATTTCTTTCCCTCACTGTATTTCAAAAATGTTTTACACAACAGGAAAAGGAGAAAAAAAAAAGAGCAGATGGTTTGAGTTATAAAAGCCATTGAAAACAATGGTGCAAAGACATTACTGTGTGGTAAAAAACTCATCAAAATTGTCAGTCACTGAGTCTGTAGCAGAGCAAAGGAGAGAATAGATGAGGTGCAGAAATTTATAATAGAGCTGTTTTGATGTGGGCCCTAGAAAATGACAGAAACATGGTTGAAAAACTGAGAAGAATGTGTCAAAAGATAGAAGTATACTGTGAAATTTCTCCTTGAGTTAATAAAAAACAATAATAGAGAAACATTCATTTTGCAAAAATACAGTGAGATATTTTCCAGATATTTCCTTAAGAAGCAATTAGAAATTTGTTCTTTCCTTAATAAGAATTTTATTCTTATTTAATTAAAAATATATTTCTTCTATTTGTAAGAAATAGAAGAAATTTATTGGAAATTTGGAAGAAGTTTATTGTACAGATCTCCCAGAAACCAGAAGTACAGAGGTTAATACCAAAAATCAGCCTGGCAACTGACCCAGAGCAAAACATAGCAAGAGACTTAACGAGGATAATTAGTTTTACAATCCTTGGAATGAGGACTCCTGACTAATTTTCACTATGTAATTCTTCTGAGCTCAACAAGCTTGCTCTTAATTCAAGAAATGATCTATGTTGGCTAACAATTACATGTAGTTTTTATTACCTTAGGATTGATCTTACTTCTTTGCCATCCTTCACGTTTCCCAATCACTGAAGTTCATCCTTACCTGTACAAGGAATCACACTTTATTTTCAGTATGGATTCTGGCCTATGGGGTACCCCATTATCTTGGTCCATTTAAACTGCTATTATAAAACACCATAAACAGGGTAGGTAATAAACAACAGAAATTTATTTCTTATAGTTACACAGTCTGGGAAGTACAAGATCTAATACTGGCAGAGTCAGTGTCCGTTAAGGGCTCGCTTTCTGGTTCATAGAGGGCATCTCACTGTGTGCTCACATGGCAAAAGTGGTCAGGGATATTTCTTGGACTTATTTTTTAAGGGACTTTATCCCATTTCTTAGGTCTCTGTCCCTATGACCTAATTTCCTCCCAAATACCCTACCTCCTAATACAATCACCTTGGGAATTCGGGTTTTGACATAAGAATTTTGAGGGGACACAAACATTCACACCACAGCACCAGTGGTGAAAGTAGCTTATGAAACTTTCTTCTCAAAGGCATTATTTGTGTGCCTTCTGAAAATTTTCATGGTTATCATGGGCGATGATTTGTCACTTAAACGCCACAGACTAGGATCTCTGACCATATTCAGACAAATTCATGTGATGGAAGGAAACAAAGTTTAGTTGTAGAAAGTTCTCATACTGCAGTCACATAAGACATGAAACAGTTAAGTAGAACTACCACAGGCAGCAGCTAAAGAGTAGGTTTAGTTGTATTACTCAAGCATTGTAATGACTTTCAAGCTTTCATTTAATGTCATATCTTTTCTGAGTAAGGGGATTGAGGCCCAAAAGTAAAATAAATGTGCTGCAAGAACAACTATGAATTAAAATCTGCCAAGTATCAAAGAATGTTGATTGAGACGGAGAAGTAGGACTTGAGGTATAGTGTAATATTGCTAAGAAGTGTAAGTCCAAACATTTTAAACGTAATTATTCTTAAGATACAAAACAAAGGAGACTGAAAAATTACTGCAGACATCTGAAGGAAATTAATTAAAGTAGCATATGAAGTTAACTTTGAGTCAATGCAGGTATGTAAATTAAATTTTCTGCAGATAGTTTATCACTCTAAAATAAAGAAGTACTAAAGTTAGTAGTAATACTGTGAGACAAGAATCACATAGCACCATTATCCATGTATAGGTGTAGGATTATCCTGGTTTGGGACACAGGAGAAGATCAGAACCTGGAAGAAAAGGATCTCAAAAAACCTGTTTTCCTTTCATCATCCTGACTGCACTATTAAACCTGAACCCTATTGCATTGTATAATAGGTTGTGATCCATTCATATACAGACCAAACTGAACATTTGGTTTTATTTTATTCAGTCAGTTGAATAGGTTATAAAAATCCCTTATAGGGTTCAAATATCCCCCAAAGGAAAGGATTCATTAACATATTATTATATCAAATAACAATAATGGTACCTAACATTTATATAGCACTTATTTGGCATCATTTCAGATACTTTGCAAACATCAATTCATTTAATTCTCACAAAAACCCGATAGTATTCTAATCAGCCTCATTTTAAAGATGGGGAAACCGAGACACAAAGAATACAAGGAATTTTGACAAAATTATATAGTTAGCAAGTAGCAGAGAGATAATTTGAATCCAGGCAGTAGCTGCTAGATTTTCTGGTCTTAACATCTATGCCATAGTGCCTCTCAGGTGTGTAGAAATCTGAAATACATTGGCTCCATCACACTGACTCAGATGGTCTGGGTTAGCAAAATCAAGTAAATATTTCTTTCTTTCCCATAATGCATGCAGAATGCCATTCAAAAGGACTAGGTGGGTGACACTTTATATAAATCTAGAATATCCAAATAATATTACTATATTCAACTTGTATTCTTTGTATAATTTGTGTTCATCATATTGGTCACAGTCCCAGAAGAAAAGAGATGCCATTTTTCAGCAGCGTCAGTGAGGAGAGTTTAAAAAATAAACTGGAGGAGTTTATGGAAATCTTAAGGATATCAGCAGCTACCATGCCTATCTGAAGGAACAAGATAAAAAAAAGCCTTTCCCAAGAGAAGGTAAGTATATGGAGAAGGTTGCCCGTCATAAGCTCAAACCTTCTGTAGAGGAATATGGCTGCACAGGAAGATAATCAGAAATTAACTTCCACTGAATCACTTGACACTGGTTACTATTGGTCCAACCCAACCAGATATCAAAAGGCCAGAGAGCTTGTTGGTGCAGCCATATGGGTCAGCCTATCAATGCACATGGCAGCGTGGGTACAGAAGTGTGGGACATGGATCTGTAAGTACAAATAGAAGATATCTTATGTGCTTTGGAGGCCCAATACCCCTCATCTGCTTAGTTTCCAAGCATCAAAGATAGTTCTTATGTATGTGACCAGATATGCAGCATCATGCAGCGGAAGATAGAAACTTCCTTGTATTCCTTTTCTTGCTTTACACATGTAAAATTTACACTGGCTGTTTAATGCCCAGCTGAAATGGCAGCTTTATGGTACTTGTTCCCTGACATTCCCAACCAAATGTGATTTTGTCCCCTTCCAATTCCATACAACATTGTCTTTGAACTTCCCTTGAAGCACACATTCTGCCTCTATTTAGTAAGGCTAGGTGCCTACTCACAGATGCCCCCACACACCTCCCTACCTCATTCCACAGAATGGTGAGTATACCCTCTAATTCCTCATAGTGCTAAGCACAGGTTCCGACACAAAACGTGGCAATACACACCAACTGGGGTTTTTCCCTTTATTCTCATTCCTGTTGATGCTTGCTTTCTTCTTTTCTCGTAACTTCCTCAGTATGCTTAACTACTTTTCACAAATCTGCTCATTCTAAAAAGCTTTATGAATGAAAATAGTCAGGCCAGTGCACGTATCATTATCTTCAAGCCAGGATCTTCTCACATGATTGGTTAAGAACATTTTTCTCGAAAATATGGTACATGTACCATGTCGAGTAAATAATATGATTTTGATGTTAATGGAATAATTTTTAAATTTATTTTCATATTTATCTTAATATGTATTAGAAAATTATAACAAGCACATGCCTTTAACAGTCACTGACATTACTTAAAATCAGAGAAAATATAAAAAATAAGACATTTAAAGAAAATGCCTAAGAAATACTTGTAGAAATGACATAGGGACATTGCAAAAAAAATGTGGAAGTGTTATAAGAAACAAGTAAAAGGTGGAAAAGGCCTCGCCTAGTCCTTGGCCCCATACTTATTCTGGTTATGCTCTTCCTCTTTCCTTATGTCCCACTGTCAGGACCAGCTTTTCTTTAGACATCTCAGCCGTCTGTCAGCTCTCACAAAAGCCTTAAGGGCTAAGCACTGTTGTTGTAAATTATCTGTTTTTGTACTTCACATCCTTGCAAAAAGGATTTGCAGTGGCTTATGACAAAAACCAAAAACACAAGACAGAAACAGCTGAAGCACAAATGCAAGGTCAAACTGTAGGCTCATTCTCCAGCTCCTTCGAATGTTCCCATTCGCTACTATTTAAGTCCATGCTCCTATTTCCATGCTTTTGCTGTTCCCTTTGCCAGGAATTTCCTTGTCCAGCTATTAAACTTATGTTTCGGTTTTTGCTCATGTCTTGCTTCCCCTGTGTACCCCAGCCAAGATTAAATTCTCCCTCCTCCATGTTAATATACTTTTCTATCCAGAGCCATTAGAAAAATTAGCACATTGCATTGCAATAATCAGTGCAATCTTCCTCCCCCGTGAGCAAGCATCCTGAGAGCAAAGACTATGCTCTATTTACCTAGGGCTGCTATACAGTCTGCTACACTTTGAGCAATTACTGATTATAACTTTTGTCGTGCATGTGGGTTGTATTCAGGAGCTGTCCCAAACCTTATAGATGTTTTAAATAATTTAATATTTCCAAGGATCTTAACAAATATGTTCTATTATAATCCCCATTTTACACAGCGATTACCTAAATAATAGGTAATAAAATAAAAGATACACAGCGATTACCTAAATTGCCTAAGGTCAATAAGCAAAAAAAAAATGGTTTAGATTTTTAAATCTAAGCAAACTCTAGGGTCAAGTTGCTAAATTCTCTGTCAACCCTCAATGACAATAATGACTGAGCTGTTAGGTAAGAAGTCCTTTAGGAATATTTAAAGTGGTTACTCAGAGTGAAAATGTAATAAACAATAAAAATTGACCATAATATTTGAGGGCAGTGAGTGTACTCAAACTTCCCAAACCAGGGAGGAAAATGAAGCCTCACACAATGATTTTGAGGAGCAGCTCTGAAATTGGTAATTGTTAATTGTATCTCAATAGATAGGTGATAGAATAGATTTTCCCTATAACATTTAACTCCTTCCCACATGATCCTCACTTTAGGGTGATGATTTCTAAGCAACATTAAGAACTTTAAACAGCTGAAAAAGAGGTAATTAAAGGAGCTGAGAAAATTATGCTGTGAAATTGAGGAGTGAATGGGAATTTTAACAAAATTTAGAAATGAGCAGAGCAGTTAGTAACAGCGTTTTCAGGAGGAAATGAAAATTAGAACCCAGTCAGGAGAGTGGAGAAAGTACCACAGGTTTGTGGCTTTTACCCTCCTGAGATTGACAGCAGGATTCTTTTTTTTTGAGACGGAGTCTCGCTCTGTTGCCCAGGCTGGAGTGCAGTGGCGCAATCTTGGCTCACTGCAAGCTCTGCCTCCCGGGCTCACACCATTCTCCTGCTTCAGCCTCCCGAGTAGCTGGGACTACAGGCGCCCGCCATCACGCCTGGCTAATTTTTTTTTTTTTTTTTTTTTTGTATTTTTGGTAGAGACGGGGGTTTCACCGTGTTAGCCAGGATGGTGTCGATCTCCTGACCTCGTGATCCGCTCGCCTCGGCCTCCCAAAGTGTTGGGATTACAGGCGTGAGCCACCGTGCTCGGCCAGGATTCTTAATAGAAATGAAGATAAATCAGGAAGGATGTTCTAGGTTATGTGCTGGTAACACAATACCCATATTTTGGCGGCTTAACGGAACAAAAGTTTATTTCTCTCTCATGTTGAAGGCAATTGATAGTGTGCTCAGTTCCTCAGGATTCAGGCAGACACACACCTAATTTCAAAGGAGGCAGAAAATTAGGGGGATGCATTCATGCCAAATACTCAGGAGGTGGATAGTAAGTAACATTTGGTGAATAATACTAATTACTACCCCAGGGGATAATGATAGTATCCATGCCATAGAGTTTCTGTGTGTATTTAATGAGATCATGCTTAGAAAGTACCAATCACATAGCAAGTGTTAGCTATTAAAGATATCAATAAGCAGCCCTATTTTCTCAAAAGGTTTTTCTTTTTTTTTCCTTAAAAAGGAAAGTTGTAATAGAGCACATTACACACACATATGAAATCAGAGCCCAGGTAGATGAAATCTAATTTCTAATTTGAAACATTATCCCCAGGCCTATTAACACAATTATGAATTGATTCTTGGCATCTGAGGAGAAAGTTTTTAGAAAGGCCTGGTGAATGTCATAATGCAAAGGTACTCTTTAATTTTAACATATAAATATTTCTCAATAAGTATTGTATTTTATAATGAAACACATACACACCTGATAAACAATTTGTCATTTAAACATTTTTGTTTCTGAAAAGCTGCTAATAAATGATTGTTGTTTGCTAAAAATTTTGATGTTCTAGACTTAAGACAAAAATGAGAGTTTAAAAAATCTGTATAATACAAAAATAAAAACAATCATTCTCATGAAATGGTAAACCTGCATAGGAATAGGACTTCAGATGTATAACTATTTGTGTGCAATCACTCTTCTCCTTCTTGATATTATATCAAGTTTTTTTTTGTCTGTTTCACAAGAAATATGTTGCAAGGATAGTTATTTTTGCCATACTGAGAAATGTCTCCTGGTGGAATTTTTTTTTAAAAGGTAGCTATTGCGTTCTGAATCATTAGCTGACAGCCATACAACTTTGAATGTAGCAAGAAAACAGCTTCCTCTCACTGTGTGCAAAGGGAAAGCAGCAGGGATTTCCATATGCAGTGTCAGTCTAGGTAAATGACATCTGTTATGAAATTGTGTCTGTGCCCAAGACATCCATTAATGGATGCAGGCACACCTCAACTACAGAAGGCAGCTGCTTTATATAGCAGCAGGGTTTGCCAGCAACAACAGAATCAATAACAGCAGCAATTTATAAATCACATCAAATTAAATCTGCAAACCTTGTTGCTGACAGAAGCATTCTTTAATATCCCCTAGTCTAAGTTTTCTAACTATTAGTTGATTGAAGAAACACTGAAGGGGCTGTCATGCCCAAAGACAAGCCAAATGCAAAACAATTTATTGTGCTTAGGCAGCCTTTCATTTAACCTGAAAGATTCTAAAGCAACCAATCTGCTATGTGGGTAAGATGCAGGCCTGGTAGCTCGATCTCATGGTGGTTAGTGAATGGGGAGATTTTATCAGCATCTCTATTCCATGACTTTTCTACTGCCTAATTGGGAAATAAATTTTTCTCACCATTTAAGTCTTAACTCTAAGCCAATGCATCTCAAATTTTGTTGTACACAATTTTTTTCTGGGGAATTTGTTAAATTTCCCAGGCCCTATCCTTGGGCTTTCCAATTTCTAGGCACCAAAGTTGAGTGTCATAAAGGTAGTAAGTGGGCCCATCTGCAGTAAACACTACTACGCCCAAGAACTAATTTATTGATTCTTACATATGAATTCAACCATGATGCTAACTAAAATTACACCTGTTTTGGACCTTCCTTTGAAGGGTCACTAGACACAGTAGGCATAGACACCTGTGTGTAAAAAACAAATGCAAAGATGATTCTGATGTATTTTTGAAGGGACAGTCATAAATTATCAATCTACATTATAGTGCCAAATTATGCAATTACAGTAATGTGTTGCTTAATGCTGGGGATATGTTCTGAGAAATGCAGAGTTAGGCGATTTTGTTGTTGTGTGAACATCATAGAGTGTACTTACACACTTAGATGGTTTAGCCTACTACACACCTAGTCTTTATGATATAGCCTATTGCTTCTGTGCTACAAACCTGTATAGCATCTTACTGTACTGAGTACAGTAGGCAAGTATAACACAATGACAAGTAATTACATATCTAAACATACCTAAACATAGAAAAGGTACAGTAGAAATATGGTATAATCTTATGGGACCACCATCATATATGTGGTTTGTCATTGACCAAAATGATGTTGTGCAGTGCATAACTATAAAGGGTCATTTAACATATGGATTACATGACATGAGCCATCAGAGAACAAATCAGAAGACTAGCCAATGTTACTAAGTCCTTACTATTCTGTAGTTATTGGTTGGCAGTGTAATGCCATACTTAAAAGCCATGGTTTTGAAAAACCATATTGCATGTTTATATGGTTGGTTATGTCCCCACCCTAATCTCAGCTTGAATTGTAGCTCCCATAATTCTCACATGTCATGGGAGGGACCCGGTGGGAGGTAGTTGAATCATGAGGGCAGGTTTTTCCTGTGCTGTTTTCACAATAGTGAATAAGTCTCACGAGATCTGATGGTCTCATAAAGGGGAATTCCCCTCACACGCTCTCTTACCTGCCATCATGTAAGACGTGCCTTTGCTCCTCCTTCACATTCTACAATGATTGTGAGGCCTCCCCAGCCGTGTGGAATGGGGATTCCATGAAACCTCTTTAAAAAAAAAATAATAATCAGCCTCGGGTATGTCTTTATTAGCAGCGTCTTTATTATTATGTCTTTATTATGTATGTATTATGTATTATTATATATTTATTAGAGCAGACTAATACACCTGGGTTTGAATTCTGGCCCTGTCACTCTCTAGCTGTGTGGAATTGAGAAGGAAAGCTCTCTGGTGATTTTCATTATGTGTAAAATGGATAACATGAAGTCACTATGAATATTGAGTGTTAACCAAAAATAGCGATTAAAGCATAGCTGTCATAAGACGTTCAATCATTGTTAGCTGTTAGTATTAATATGTGCCACTCGATTATGTCATTGAATTCTCACAATCTTATAAAGTAGAAATTATTATTATCTCCTTTATACAAAGGAAAAAATGGAAACACAGAGAGGTTAGGTCAGCAGTCCAAAATCACACAGTCAGCAGCATTACGGTTTTCATACACTTACTTAGCCATTACTCTGAATGTAGAGCTGACGGAAATCATAGGATTTCTTAAATGCATCCCTTATCTTTCTCAAGGTCCTGTAGTGGATTATTGATGATGTGGGCAGTGGTTAAGAGTAGGAGGTGATTGCATGTGTTTTGGGGGTAAGACAGAGGAGGCCCCTCTATTACCTACTTCTACTGTGCCTTGACTGTAGGAAAGTCACTTAGAATTTCTGTGACTTGTTATATAAATATGTAAAATGTTAGAATGGTAAGACTTGCTTTATGAGTATTTTCTATGGATTAAATGACAAGGTGTGAATTATCTAGCAGATGCTCAATAAATATTGATTGACTTCTTATTCTGCCTAACAGCATTAGAAAAACTGTTATGTACATAGTTCTACACTAGGAGAAGAGAAAATATAAAGATAAAAGATGGTGAACACTTACATAGGAAACATAATATCAAACACAGTTCCTGCTTTATACTTAACATTTTGTATTGACAAACAGAAGTAGACTCCTGGCATGTACAATACTTCACGTGAAATTATGTTCCTTCAGTGGACCGTTAGATCAGTGCCAGGCAACTGACCCAACTGAAGCCAATCAGATTCTCTCCTCTAAAATCTGAAATTAGATTCAATATGTGGATTTCGAGGTAAAATTAATTTAAAAAAATTGAGCCAGCCATTTACACAGAAAAATAGATAAATCAGATCAACAGATAAAAGAAAAATGAGGTAGTCCCACAGAGAGAAGCAGTTTGAGAACTCATCTGGCAGTAGAGAGGAAGAATTTTAAACTATCTGCTTAGGTTCCTGGTAGCTTGCTGGGTACTCTTTCCCACCTGTCTTGAGACCTAGTTGGTTATCTTTTATTTGGATATTCTGAGTTTGCAGAATATCTTTTCAATAGCTTTTATTTTATGCTTAAACTTTGAAGTGAATTTCTGTGCTTTGACAGAAAATAACCTTGTCTAAGATACTGATGTAGGAAGAAGAGAAGGAAACTAATAAATAGTTGCTAAGTACTTCATTTAATCCTAAAACAGCCCTCAAATACTACAGGCATTATTATTCATAGTTTAGTGGTAAGGAAATTGGGATTGAGAATGTGTAACTTGCCTAAGATCAAGCTTCTATAGATGATAGGAACACAAGTCTTTGTGATATCAAATCTCACTTTCATCACTATTTTAAGACATAGAAAAAAATCATGATACCACATAAAAGATGGTGCACTGAAATGAATAATGTAAGGCCATTTGAGTGACCTGAGAGTTGACAAAACTCAGTGTATGTAAAAATGCTACAATAAGGAGCTTTACCAATAAATAACATTTTATAATATGCAGCTCGTGATTTAAAAAGTATAAAATTAAATCATTTAACAAGCATATATAAAAGCAATTTAGAGGTCTAAAAAGAAAAGTTGCTAATCTCCATCGTGTTCCCCCAAAGATTTTGCCTTATTTTGTTTTCCTCTGAGGAATATGAACACCTGTAAATTTAACCAAATAACCAAATATTTTAGTAAGTTAAAAGTCTTTTTTTCTTTTTCCCCAAATACTAAACAGTAAGAAAGCACTGCCTACCTGGGTTTTTGTTGTTGTCATTGTCGTTGTTTTGTTCTGTTTTATAAATTTAGAAGATATAACCTTAAAACAAACAGCACTCTGGAATTGTAAGTTCATTGAAAATACGTCTTACCTTGTCATAGTGATGTGATGGTTAATACTGAGTGTCACCTTGATTGTATTGAAGGATGCAAAGCATTAGTCCTGGGTGTGTCTATGAGGATGTTGCCAAAGGAGATTAACATTTGAGTCAGTGGGCTGGGGAAGGCAGACCCATCCTTAATCTGGATGGGCACCATATAATCAGCTGCCAGTGAATATAAAGCAGGCAGAAAAATGTGAAAAGGCTAAACTGGCTTAGCCTTTCATGCCTATATTTTTCTCCTGTGCTGGATTCTTCCTGCCTTCAAACAAACATTGCACTCCAAGCTCTTCAGCTTCGGGACTCTGACTGGCTTCCTTGCTCCTCAGCTTGAAGGTAGCCTATTGTGGGATCTCATGATCATGTGAGTTAATACTACTTAATAAACTACTCTCTCTCTCTCTCTCTCTCTATATATATATAAAATAGTTTATTATATATAGTATATATACAGTAGTTTATTATACAGTAGTACTATATATACACTATATATAGTAGTTTATATATATAACATAAATATATCGTGTATATATACATATATGTATATATGTATATATATACATATGTGTATATATGTGTATATATACATATGTGTATATATGTGTATATATACATATGTGTGTATATGTGTATATATACATATGTGTGTATATGTGTATATATACATATATGTGTGTATATGTGTATATATACATATATGTGTGTATATGTGTATATATACATATATGTGTGTATATGTGTATATATACATATATGTGTGTATATGTGTATATATACATATATGTGTGTATATGTGTATATATACATATATGTGTGTATATGTGTATATATACATATGTGTATATGTGTATATATACATATGTGTATATATGTGTCTACATACGTGTATATATGTGTATATATACATATATGTGTATATATGTATATACATACGTGTATATATGTGTATATATACATACGTGTATATATGTATATATACATATATGTGTATATATACATACGTGTATATATGTATATATACATATATGTGTATATATGTGTATATATACATATGTGTATATATGTGTATATACATATATGTGTATATATGTGTATATATGTGTATATATACGTATATGTGTATATATGTGTATATATACGTATATGTGTATATATGTGTATATATGTATATACGCATATGTGTATATATGTGTATATATACGTATATGTGTATGTATGTGTATATGTGTATATATACGTATATGTGTATGTATGTGTATATATGTGTGTATATACATATGTGTATGTATGTGTATATATGTGTATATATACATATACGTGTATATATGTGTATATATACATATGTGTGTATATATGTGTATATATACATATGTGTGTATATATGTGTATATATACATATGTGTGTATATATGTGTATATATACATATGTGTGTATATATGTGTATATATACATATGTGTGTATATATGTGTATATATACATATGTGTGTATATACGTATATATACATATGTGTATGTATGTGTATATACATATATACAAATATGTGTATGTATGTGTATATATACATATATGTGTATACATGTGTATATATACATATATGTGTATATATACATATATGTGTTTGCATGTGTATATACATATATGTGTATACGTGTGTATATATGTGTGTATATACATACATGTGTGTATGTGTGTATATATACATACGTGTGTATATGTGTATATATGCATACGTGTGTATATGTGTATATATGCATACGTGTGTATGTGTATATATGCATACGTGTGTGTATATGTGTATATATGCATACGTGTGTGTATGTGTATATATGCATACGTGTGTATGTGTATATATGCATACGTGTGTGTATGTGTATATATGCATACGTGTGTGTATGTGTATATATGCATACGTGTGTGTATGTGTATAATGCATACGTGTGTGTATGTGTATATATGCATACATGTGTGTGTATGTGTATATATGCATACATGTGTGTGTATGTGTATATATGCATATATGTATATATATATCCTTTCCACCTTTGTCTGAGGAGATAAACCCTGTGCTTCCTGAGGCAACAGTCATGGCCTCTCTTGAGGCAGTGGCCAGTGGAGATAATGTTGATTCTCCTCAGAAGCCACCCCCAACACCCCTGTTTGTTTCTAGACCTATAACTAACTAAAGTCCTGGTGGGCCCCCAGAGGTGAGGTTCAGAGTGTGACCCATGAGGAAGTTCCCTACACTCAAAAAGAAGTGCTTGAGTTTTTTAATTTATATAAACAGAAATCTGGAGAGCAGGCATGGGAATGGATATTAAGGGTGTGGGAAAATGGTGGAAGGAACATAGAGTTGGATCAGGCTGAATTTATTGATTTGGGCCCATTAAGTAGGGATTCTGCACTTAATGGTGCAGCTAGGGGAGTTACAAAAAGGTGTAAATAGTTTATTTGCTGGGTTAGCTGAAATATGGATTAAAAGATTGCCCATTGTGAGCGAGCTGGAAATTCTTGATCTCCCTTGGGTTAATGTAGAGGAAGGGATCTCCCTTGGGTTAATGTAGAGGAAGGGAGATTGGGAGAGTGGAGTGGATTAGTCACTTTAGACCTACGCATCCCAGCTGGGAGGGTCCAGAAGATATACCCTTGACCAATGCTTTGCAAAATAGATTTGTGAGAGTGACACCTGCATTTTAAAGAGCCCTGTAATTGCTCATCTCTGTATGTCAGGTCTAACAGTGGGAACCACAGACATTCAACTACAAAATTTAAATGCAATGGGAATAATTGGATCCCAAGGTGGCAAGGGCCAAGAGGCAGCACTTAACTGTCAAAGGGAAGGTGGGTGTAGCTACTGTAATGGATGGCAGAGGCAAAGCAGCAATCGGGATAGCTGACTCATGTAGAGCTCTAGCATTGACTAACCACGGTGTTCCTACAAGTGAAATTGATAGGAAGCCTACTGCATTTCTACTTAATTCTTCTTAATTTATATCAGCAGAAAACTTCTAGGTAGAATGGACAAAAGACTAATTTGAATTGTAAAAACAGAGAATCATGGCTCCTCAATCAATTCAGTGACCAGAAAGGCTGCCAGTTTTGAGTGGGGTCCAGAACAGGAAAAGGCTCTGCAACAAATCCAGGCTGCTGTGCAAGCTGCTCTGCCACTTGGGCCATATGACCCAGCAGGTCCAGTGGTGCTTGAGGTGTCAGTGGAGATAGGGATGCTGTTTGGAGCCCTTTGCAGGCCCGCATAGGTGAATCACAGTGGAGTGCTCTTGGATTTTGAAGCAAAGCCCTGCCATCTTCTGCAGATAACTACTCTCCTTTTGAGAGACAGCTTTTGGCTTGTTACTGGGCTTTCATGGAAACTGAACGTTTGACTATGGTTCATCAAGTCACCATGTGACCTGAACTGCCTCTCATGAACTGGGTGCTTTCTGACCCATCTAATCATAAAGTGGATCATGCACAGCATCACTCCATCATCAAACGGAAGTGGTATATACATGACCGGGCTGGAGAAGGTCCTGAAGGTACAAGTAAGTTACATGCAGAAGTGGTTCAAATGTCCGTGCAGGGAACTTAAAAAAAACTGGCATGTAGTAAGTATGCAATAGATACAGATGATTTTTATGAAAACAATGCATTTGCAACCATGTTTTCAGAAAGAGTTAGATACATATCTGGTGCTATGTAGGAGCCTAATAATATGTAATTACCTCTTCATGAAATAGTGATTCACTAAGCATGAGCCAAGGAGGGAAGGCAAAGGGTGATTTATAAGGATAAAGACTTTGGTCAGAATCTAACTGTGTGTGTAGGTCAGCCTCTAGAAATAAAAAGCAAAAAATGGAGGAAGATCTTTGATGAGAATGATACGCCTAGCATAGTAAGAGATTTTTGTTACAGTTAAGCTCCTGCTAGGATAAGTTGGATTTCTAGGGTTTGTATTTCTCAGATAGTCACAGAGAATGATTTCTACCATTCTATAACATAGAGAATAAAGCCTTAGGTGAGCAAATAGGTCAACCACTTTCTAAGTATTAAGATTTCTAATAATCTTAAAAGTATAAAGAGTGGGTGCAGTGTGCTGATGCCTGGTAAGTATTCTCATCATTATGTTGTCCTACATCAATGTAGTAAGATATCCCACAGTCTATCTTGAAATTTTTATGAATGCATTCTGTACAATTATCTCAAAGAAAGACAAAATCCCCACATTTTGTATATTCATTTCAAAGCATATGCAATACTCGGCAGCAACTGGTAGGAAGCAATTACTAGAATGGAAATAACAAAAAAATAGCTAAAAAGCTCTAGGTGCAGTGGTGTGCACTTGTATTCCCAGCTACTTGGGAAGCTAAGGTGAGAGAATCCCTTGAGACCAGAAGTTTGAGGCCAGCTGGGCAGCATAGCCAGACTCCACCTCATTTTTAAAAAGCATAAAGATGAAACTATTTAGAAAATATTTATTATAAAATACGGCCAAATTATATAAATTTATTTAATTTATATTTCTTTTAAAAGCAGACCAAATTTCTGGAAGATGTTGAGAAAATGGTCTGACCTAGAAGGTAGTGGGAAGTAGACAGTTGAGGGGCTTTGGGAAGATAAAACACAACAAATAATTGAGAAAAATCCAGCTATTTATCATGAGATGGAGTAGTATCACAGAATAGCACAAGTTAGTATCACAGTAGTATCACAGAATAGCACAAGTCAGATAACTCTAGGTGTAAATTCTGGGTAACATTAGGTAAATTACTTCAGCTTTCTGATCTGTGGTTTCTTTGTCTGTAAAATGTAAATTTTTGCATATGTTATATATATGTATGTATAAAATACATTTATATATTCATATGTAATATTTATACATATAAATATGTTTATACATATAACTTGTATATTATACATATTCATTTTTATATAAATATAAATAATATATAATATAGATTTATATGTAAATATAAATATTAAATAACTATATATAAATATAAGTATTTCATGTATATTTTTATATCAAGATGCAAAAATATATATGAATATATATCTTGATATATTTTTATATCAAGATATAAAAATATATATATATTTTATACATGTATAAATGTATACATGTATATAATGTATTTTATACATACAAATATATACATAAATATACCTATTCATCTATATAAATGTCTTCAGAGAGTAGATATATGATGAAATGGTTTATGTATATATACAGTACTGAGCCCAGTGCCTGAAACAGTATGCCTTAAATACATTAATTTCTTTCATCCCCTTTAAGTACTTTAGACACTAAAATAGTAAATCAAGGCAAAGAAAAATTCCATTAACTGGGAGCGGGAAAACACCAATCTCTCTCTGGTCTCAAGAGTGCATCTCATCTTGAGTCTGTCATGCCCCCACCTGGACACCATGAAGCAGCTATGCACTGCTATGCTGATATTGGGAAAAGAGGCACTAGTTTCTGCAGAGTTTGGCTGTGAAACTCATATGCCAGCTCGAGCTGCTGCTGTCTCTGTCTGCAATGGTGGGACAGTAGGAAGTCTTTTTTCCCTACCTGGGATTTTTGCACGTATTTATTATAGGAAAAAATTCTCCTTCCTAAAGTTTTCTTATTTGTTTTAACTTTCGTTGCTACATTTCCATAATGTCGGATAATCACAAAGCACATAAAAACATTTTTATGTACAGCCAAATATATATGGTAATCTCATTGAGTGACATTTGCACGGCAGCACTGCACTGGTGTTGATAAATAATACATCATATTACATTTTATATATTGAGGCAGTGGAATTAGAAATGGAGAAACAAAAAGCTATATTCAGTTATTTCCATTCTAGTCATTGCTTCCTACCATGTGCTGCTGAGTGTTGCATAGGTTTTAAAATGAATACACAAAATGTAGGGATTTTGTCTTTCTTTGAGATGATTGTACAAAATGTATTCATAAAAATTTTAAGATAGACTGTGGGATATATCTTAATACATTGTTGTAGGACAATATAATGATGAGAATACTTACCAGGCAGCAGCACATCTGCTTATCCTCAGCCATGAGTGGCAGATTGATAGCAAACGTGTCATCACTTTTCATTCCAGCAACTATGGCAGCATCACTAATTGACCATGACATGCTTTTAGACTGAATCCAGAGGCAGCTGGAGTGAGGGGAAGAATGCCTTCTTAATACAGTGCCCATGCAATCTCTACCAAATACACTGACAAAGTCAAACTTCTTTACTATATCTCACCCACAAATCTGGAGGATGTGAAGCAGTGCAGAGGCCTGCAGTAGTGACGAAGGTCAGGCACCAATGGATCCACACTGAGAATTTCCTCAGTGTCAAGAGTAGACATACATTTAAAATCCATAAAACTAATATTTATATCTGCTCATTTTGAGACATTGTAATCAATTTTCCAATATTATCTAATTTCGTTAGTAGCTTTATTGAGTGCCTACATTATTAGATGTGCCAATAGAATACCTGCCAATATACTTGACAATAAACCTCCAAATTCTGTTTATTTCTGCATTAAATTATTCAGTGGGAATAACTTCCTGTTTGGGATGCCATCCTCAGGTGGCTGAGATCTTAATGTGTTGATACATCTACCTAAATTTGTAGCAGAGTAAATTAGCTTGTGTTTAATTCAACTCCTACACCTGATTATTACATTCGTTTATACTGTAGAGTCTAGAAAGACTTAAACATGCAATATCGGTAGAGGTTTTAGGATGGAGTTGATAAAAGGTAAAGATTGATATCAACACTTGAGCAAAGTAAATAATTTTAATTTTGCTCTAAACACATTACAAATACATCCCTTAAAAAAAGGCAAAATAAGGCTTTACAGACCTCAATTGTATACAGTTTGGGGAACATGTTTAAGAAAATGAATACAACATTACAAAAATATAATTATAGCAGGACCTTGAAAGAGAGGAAGGATATGCAAATAAAGAAACCAAAAGCTTCTGCATCACTAGCTTTATGATAAATCTGTCTTTGATTCTAGCAAACTAGAAACACAAATTGTAACTTGCATATACATGTATAATAGAATGAGACATCGAGCAAATTGTTAAGAATGTTCCCACATTTTAACAAAGAGTAGATAGAAACATTTCTGTAGGGCTAATGGAGAAGAGGCAAAATTTACTCCCTGGAAAACACGCACTTTCCACATAAAATAGTAAAATAGAGGGGTTTTACCAAAACATTTTCTGGAAGATAATACATGAAAGACTGGGGCTTTGTGCACTTTCCTCCCTTTCCTGTTAATAAAGGGATGTGCTTTTCTTTGTCTCAGGCTAAGTGACTAGGGCCAAAAGAAAAACACTCACATACCAGGGAGACTATGACTGAAGAAATTACTAAGACTGCTTCTCCTGTAGCTAAGTACAAGAAAATTCTTGAGGGCACACATAAGAATGCTTCCTTCTTACCTAAAAATGCCTAAGAAAATTAAAGCTAATTGTCACATCTGATGATGAGAGAGAAAAGAGAGAGTGCAACAGGAGAAATGTCTGCCCTTGTAGATTTTGGAAGGACCAGCATGGTGTGTGTGTGCATCTTACCCCTGTAGGCTCAATAAATAATATTGAGTCATATTGAAAGGAACCTAGGCATTGGGGTGAGGAAAACTTGGGAGAAAAGGAGAGTGGGCATTTGAATGAGATCAGCCATAGAGTGCATCACCCATGTCAGAATGGTGGAGGATGAAGGCTACTGAGTAGCCTCCAAGAATCCTCCGATATATATCTATCAAATACCCAACATTTGAATCTTTGACTCACCAATCAGTAGAAGATTATCAGCAACATTAACTAAGCAAACATATTTTGCTCATTTTTTTCTTGTCCGTTTCTCTCCTCTCCCTTCTCTGGCAAAGAGTTGAGTGGAGAGAGATCATGCTAAAATTCTTCTTTCCCTTTGCTGGTTTCCAAGCATTTGGTCAATTTGAACTGAAATAGGGGAAAAAATGTTTGAATTGTATGAGAGATCAGTGTTGATTTGGATTATACTAGACTTTTTAATGCTGAAAAGTGGCACTCTTCTAATACCCAGAATTTAGGGAAAAGCAATTTATCTGCCAAAGATACCGTCTAGAGAAAGGGAAAGGAGATTTCACAGAGTATAATTGAAGCTCCAGATGGTAAAAAAACAAAATTGTTTTCTGACTGTATCTTATTTACCAAGTTCAGTGTGTTTACTAAACCTGTGGACATCTCATATTTACTTTTATAAAATGTTTTTGCCATATAGCAATCAATTGCATCCACTTTTCTTCTCCAATGGAGCTGTGCTGTGTTGTTATATTGTTATGATGAAAACTCATTATATAAATGCAGCCATATGAGAGGTGCTATTGAAACCAAAATATATGAACTTTTAAAGATTTTTGTTTTTTATTACTATGTGGAACAAACTCTCTAAAAAGCCCTCCAGTAAGGAATTGAAGAAGTACACTTGTTCTATAGTACATTAAGAAAGGAATAAATTTGCTTATGACACTTTCCTTTCCTCACTTTGGCTAGTTTAAAGTTTTTCAATTTCACTGGAATTACATTGCTGTGAGACTCCAGATATTACAAGCATACTACAGGGTAATCTTATTATTCATAGAAGGTTGTGAGGGAAGGGTTTATATTAACAAAAAAAATTGTTTCATGACAAAGATTCAAAAAACATGTCAAATTTGCTATCGTTTATTGCTCTTGTATGTGAGAATCACTATAGAAATGTAAAATGTGACCTTATATCAGTTGATATCTCTAATTCTTCACTAGTTCAAGACATTTAGTTACTCAACATTATTTTTTTAGTTTTCTACGAGATTAAACTTTAAAAAGATAAAATTTATTTTAGTAACAATCAATCACTCTTCAGGGTCAGAAATTTTGTGTATAGTTAAATATTGCCAGGGGAGACATTTTATCAATAACAATTAAAACAAAC
Organism: Homo sapiens; assembly: GCF_000001405.40. Taxonomy (NCBI): domain Eukaryota; kingdom Metazoa; phylum Chordata; class Mammalia; order Primates; family Hominidae; genus Homo; species Homo sapiens. Next base: position 37,356,251 of record NC_000011.10, read on the forward strand.
AAACAAAAAAACCTTACCAGCAGCAACAGCAAGATGGCCAAATAGGAACAGCTCCTGTATGCACCTCCCAATGAGATCAATGCAGAAGGTGGGTTATTTCTGCATATCCAACTGAGGTACCCAGCTCATCTCATTGGGACTGGTTAGACAGTGGGTGCAGCTGATGGAGAGCAAGCTGAAGCAGGGTTGGCCATCACCTCACCAGGGAAATACAAGGGGTCAGGGAACCCTCTCCCCTAGCCAATGGAAGCCATGAGGGACTGTGTCGTGAGGAATGGTGCACTCCAGCCCAGATACTATGCTTTTCCCACAGTCTTCGCCACTGGCAGACCAGAGATTCCCTCTGGTGACTACACCACCAGGGCCCTGTGTTTCAAGCATAAAACTGGGTGGTTGTTTGGGCAGTCACCGAGCTAGCTGCAGGAGTTTTTTTTCCTATCCCAGTGGCGCCTGGAATGCCAGCGAGACAGAACCATTCACTCCTCTGGAAAGGGGGCTGAAGACAGGGAGCCAAGTGGTCTAGCTCAGTAAATACCACCCCCACAGAGCCCAGAAAGCTAAGATCCACTGACTTGAAATTCTCACTGCCAGCACAACAATCTGAAGTCAACCTGGGATGCTTGAGCTTGGTGGCAGGAGGGGCGCCCACCATTACTGAGGCTTGAGTAGGCAGTTTTCCCCTCACAGTGTAAACAAAGCAGTGTGGTAATTCAAACTGGGCGGAGCCCACCACAGCTCAACAAAGCCACTGTAGCCAGACTGCCTCTCTAGATTCCTCCTCTCTGAGCAGGGCATCTCTGAAAGAAAGGCAGCTGCCCCAGTCAGGTGCTTATAGGTAAAACTTCCCCTGGAACAGAGCACCTGGGGGAAGGAGTGGTTATGGGTGCAGCTTCAGCAGACTTAAACGTTCCTGCCTGCTGGGTCTGAAGAGAGCAGCAAATCTCCCAGCACAGCACTTGAGCTCTGCTAAGGGACAGACTACCTCTTCAGATGTGTTCCTGACCCTCATGCTCCTGACTGGGAAACACCTCCCAATAGGGGTTGACAGACACCTCATACAGGAGAGCTCCAGCTGGCATATGGCAGGTTCCCTTCTGGGACAAAGCTTGCCAGAGGAAGGAACAAGCAGCAATCTTTGCTGTTCTGCAGCCTCTGCTGGTGATACCCAGGCAAACAGGGTTAGGTTTGAACCTCCAGGAATCTCCTGCAGACCTGCAGCAAAGGGGCCTGACTGTTAGAAGAATGAACAGAAAGGAATAGCATCCACATCAACAAAAAAAGATGTCCACACAAAAACCCCATCCAAAGGTCACCAACATCAAAGAACAAAGGTAGATAAATCCATGAAGATTAGGAAAAACCAGCACAAAAAGGCTGAAAATTCCATAACCCAGAACACTTCTTCTCCTCCAAAAGATTACAACTCCTCACCAGCAAGGGAACAAAACTGGTTGGAGAATGAGTTTGACAAATTGACAGAAGTAGGCTTCAGAAGGTAGGTAATAGCAAAGTCCTCTGAGCTAAAGGAGTGTGTTCTAACCCAATGCAAGGAAGCTAAAAACCTTGAAAATAGGTTAGACAAATTGCTAACTAGAATAACCAGTTTAGAGAAGAACATAAATGACCTGACGGCGCTGAAAAAGACAGGACAAGAACTTTGTGAGGCATACACAAGTATCAATAGCTGAATTGATCAAGCAGAAGAAGGGATATCATAGATTGAAGATCAACTTAATGAAATAAAGCATGTAGACATGATTAGGGAAAAAAGAATGAAAAAGAATGAACAAAGCCTCCAAGAAATATAGGACTATGTGAAAAGACCAAACCTACATTTGATTGGTGTACCTGAAAGTGACAGGGACAATGGAACCAAGTTGGAAAACACTCTTCAGGATACTATCCAGGAGAACTTCCCCAACCTATTAAGACAGGCCAACATTCAAATTCAGGAAATACAGAGAACACTGCAAATATACTCCTTGAGAAGAGCAACCTCAAGACACATAATCATCAGATACACCAAGGTTGAAAGAAAAAATGTTAAGTGCAGCCAGAGAGAAAGGTCGGGTTACCCCCAAAAAGAAGCCCATCAGACTAAAAGAGGATCAATCTGCAGAAACCCTATAAGCCAGAAGACAGTAGGGCCCAACATTCAACATTCTTAAAAGAATTTTCAACCCAGAATTTTATATCCAGCCAAACTAAACTTCATAAGCAAATGAGAAATAAAATCCTTTACAGACAAGCAAATGCTGAGAGATTTTTGTCACCACCAGGTTTGCCTTATAAGAACTCCTGACTAAAGCACTAAATATGGAAAAGAAAAAATGGTACCAGCCACTGGAAAAAACATACCAAATTGTAAAGACCACTGACACTATGAAGTAACTGTATCAACTAATGGGCAAAATAACCAGCTAGCATCATAATGACGAGATCAAATTCACATATAACAATATTAACCTTAAATATAAATGGGCTAAATGCCCCAATTAAAAAACACAGACCGGCAAACTGGATAGAGTCAAGACCTATCGGTGTGCTGTATTCAGGAGACCCATCTCACATGCAAAGACACACATAGGCTCAAAATAAAGCAAAGGAGGAAGATTCACCAAGCAAATGGAAAGCCAAAGAAAAAAAAAAGAAAAAAAAAGCAGAGGTTGCAATCCTGGTCTCTGATAAAAACAGACTTTAAAGCAACAAAGATCAAAAGAGACAAAGAAGGGCATTACATAATGATAAAGAGATGAAGGCAACAAGGAGAGCTAACTATTCTAAATGTATATGCACCCAATACAGAAGCACCCAGATTCACAAAGCAAGTCCTTGGAGACCTACAAAGAGACTTAGACTCCCACACAGTAATAGTGGGAGATTTTAACATCCCACTGTCAAAGAAGCTCACTCAAAACTTCACAACTACATGGAAACTGAACAACCTGCTCCTGAATAACTTCTGGGTAAATAACGAAATGATGGCAGAAATAAAGATGCTTTCTGAAACCAATGAGAACAAGACACAATGTACCAGAATCTCTAGGACGCGTTTAAAGCAGTATTTAGATAGAAATTTATAGCACTAAATGCCCACAAGAGAAAGCAGGAAAGATCTAAAATCGACATCCTAACATCACAATTAAAAGAACTAGAGAAGCAAGAGCAAACAAATTCAAAATCTAGCAGAAGACAAGAAACAACTAAGATCAGAGCAGAACTGGAAGAGATAGAGACACAAAAATCCCTTCAAAAAACAAATGAATCCAGGTTTTTTGAAAAGATTAACAATATAGATAGATTCCTAACCAGACTAATAAAGAAGAAAAGAAAGAAGAATCAAATAGACACAACAAAAAATGATAAAGGGGATATCACCACTAATCCCACAGAAATACAACCTACCATGAGAGAATACTATACACACCTGTATGCAAATAAACTAGAAAATCTATAAGAAATGGATAAATTCCTGGACACATACACCCTCCCAAGACTAAACCAGGAAGATGTCGAATTCCTGAAGAGACCAATAACAAGTTCTGAAATTGAGGCAGTAATTAATAGCGTACCAACCAAATAAAGCCCAGGACCAGACGGATTCACAGCCGAATCCTATCAAAGTTACAAAAAGGAGCTGGTACCAATCCTTCTGAAACTATTTCAGACAATAACACAAGAGGGACTCCTCCTCAACTCATTTTATGAGGCTAGTGTCATCCTGATACCAAAACCTGACAGAGACACAACAAAAAAAAAGAATATTTCAGGCCAATATCTCTGATGAACATCGATGTGAAAATCCTCAATAAAAATACTGGCAAACCAAATCTAGCAGCACATCAAAAAGCTTATCCACCATGATCAAGTTGGCTTTATCCCTGGGATGCAAAGCTGGCTCAACATATGCAAATCAATAAATGTAATCCATCACATAAACAGAACCAATGACAAAAACCACATGCTTATCTCAATAGATGCAGAAAAGGCCTTGATAAAATTCAACACTTCTTCATGCTAAAAACTCAATAAACTAGGTATTGATGGGATGTATCTCAAAATAATAAGCGCTATCTATGACAAACCCACAGCCAATGTCATACTGAATGAGCAAAAGCTGGAAGCATTCCCTTTGAAAACCGGCACAAGACAAGGATGCCTTCTCTCACCACTCCTCTTGAACATGCTGTTGGAAATTCTGGCCAGGGCAATCAGGAAAGAGAAAGAAATAAAGGGTATTCGAATAAAAAGAAAGAAAGTCAAATTGTCTCTGTTTGCAGATGACATGATTGTATATTTAGAAAACCCCATCATCTCAGCCCAAAATCTTCTTAAGCTGATAAGCAACTTCAGCAAAGTCTTGGGACACAAAATCAATGTGCAAAAATCAGAAGCATTTCTATACACCAATAATAGAAAAACAGAGCAAAATCATGAGTGAACTCCCATTCATAACTGCTACAAAGAGAGTAAAATACCTAGGAATACAACCTACAAGGGATGTGAAGGACCTCTTCAATGAGAACTACAAAACACTGCTCAAGGAAATGAGAGAGAACACAAACAAATGGAAAAACATTCCATGCTCATGGATAGGAAGAATCACTATCATGAAAATGACCATAATGGCCAAAGTAATTCATAGATTCAATGCTATCCTCATCAAGCTACCACTGACTTTCTTCACAGAATTGGAAAAAAAATACTTTAAATTTCATATGGAACCAAACAAAAAGCTCGTGTAGCCAAGACAGTCCTAAACAAAAAGAACAAAGCTGGAGGTATCATGCTACTTGACTTCAAACTATGCTACAAGGCTACAGTAACCAAAACAGCATGGTACTGGTACCAAAAGGCATATATAGACCAATGGAACAGAACAGAGGCCTGAGAATTAACCCCACACATCTACAACCACCTGATTTTTGACAAACCTGTCAAAAACAAGCAATGGGAAAAGTATTCCCTATTTAATAAATGCTGTTGGGAAAACTGGCTAGCCATATGCAGAAAACTGAAACTGGGCCCCTTCCTTAGACCTTATACAAAAATTAACTCAATATGGATTAAAGACTTAAGCATAAGACCTACAGCCATAAAAACCCTAGAAGAAAATCTAGGCAATACCATTCAGGACATAGGCATGGGCAAAGACTTCATGACTAAAACAACAAAAGCAATGGTAACAAAAGCCGAAATTGACAAATAGTATATAATTAAAAACAGAGCTTCTGCACAGCAAAAGAAACTATCATCAGAGTAAACAGGCAACCTAAAGAATGGGAGAAAATATTTGCAATCTATCCTTCTGACAAAGGGCTCATACCCAGAATCTACAAGGAACTTAAACAAATTTATAAGAATAAAACAACACCATCCAAAAGTAGGCAAAGGATATGAACAGGCACTCCTCAAAAGAAGACATTTATGTGGCCAAGAAGCATATGAAATAAAGCTCATCATCACTGGTCATTCAAGAAATGCAAATCGAAACCACAATGAGATAACATCTCACACCAGTTAGAATGGCCATCATTAAAAAGTCAGGAAACAACAGATGCTGGAGAGGATATGGAGAAATAGGAATGCTTCTACACTGCTGGTGGGAGTGTAAATTAGTTCAACCATTGTGGAAGACAGTGTGGCAATTCCTCAAGCATCTAGAACCAGAAATACCATTTGACCCAGCAATCCCATTACTGGGCATATACCCAAAGGATTATAAATCATTCTACTTCAAAGACACATGTACACGTATGTTTACTGCAGCACTATTCACAATAGAGAAGACTTGGAACCAACCCAAATGCCCATCAATTATAGACTGGATAAAAAAAATATGGCACATATACACCACGGAATACTATGTAGATGTTAAAAAGGATGAGTTCATGTCCTTTGCAGGGATGTGGATAAAGCTGGAAACCATCATTCTCAGCAAACTAACACAGGAACAGAAAACCAAACACGGCATTTTCTCCTTTTTTTTTTTTTTTGAGATGGAGTTTTGCTCTTGTTGCCCAGGCTGGAGTGCAATGGCACTATCTTGGCTCACTGCAACCTTCGCCTCCTGTGTTCAAGCGATTCTCCTGCCTCAGCCTCCTAAATAGCTGGAATTACAGGTATGTGCCAGCACACCTGGTTAATTTTGTATTTTTAGTAGAGACAAGGTTTCTCCATGTTGGTCAGGCTGGTCTCGAACTCATGACCTCAGGTTATCTGCCTGCCTTGCCTCCCAAAGTGCTGGGATTATAGGCATGAGCCACTGCTCCCAGCTGCATGTTCTCATTCATAAGTGAGAGTTGAACAATGAGAACACATGGACACAGGGAGGGGAACATCACACACTGGGGCCTGTCGGGGAGTGGAGGGCTAGGGGAAGGATAGCATTAGGAGAAATACCTAATGGAGATGACGGGTTGATGGGTGCATGAAACCACCATGGCACGTGTATAGCTATGTAACAAACCTGCATGTTCTGCACATCATGTATCCCAGAACTTAAAGTGAAAAAAAAAAAAAAAGAAAGAAAGAAAGAAAAAGAAACGTTACCATGAAATTTTGGTTACAAGGCATTAGGATAATAATGATTATGAAGATTAAGTCTATCCACAATAACTGATACTTTTATGGATGACTTTATTAGTTAAAGGCTTACTCTTGTACATTATTTCACTTTATGCCAACTTGATATGCAGATGTAGTTGTTCTTAGATAGTTTTTGAAAATTAAAAAAAAAAAATTTTTTTTTGAGACTGAGTCTGGCTCTGTTGCCCAGGCTGAAGTGCAGTGGTGTGATATTGGCTTACTGCAACCTCTGCTTCCCGGGTTCAAGTGATTCTCCTGCCTCAGCCTTCTAAGTAGCTGGGATTTCAGGCAAGTGCCATCATGCCTGGCTAATTTTTGTATTTTTAATAGAGACAAGGTTTCACCACATTGGCAAGGGTGGTCTCAGACTCCTGACCTCAAGTGATCTGCCCACCTCGGCCTCCCAAACCACTGGGATTACAGACATGAGGCATCACACTCGACCACAGATACTTTTTAGAAATTTGAGATTTGATATTTAGACAGGTGAGAAAAATTTTAATAGAATGTAAGTTAGAAGAAAAAAGGGGGTAGAGCCATTTCTAATACTAAATCCCATGAGCTCTTAAAATTAAATTTCATGCTTCCCCTTTTCACAATCACAAATATACCTCCCCCTAAGGAGCTAACTCTCAACAAGAGGTCTTAAGGAAGAACATGCTTCTACACAAGGTTAGGTATTAGCTAAAGCTTATTGAGATTCATACAAAGAGAATACATCTGGATGTGTGTTGGTAAACCTTGATGATAAGGATGAAGAAATGTTTTCTAGCATTTAAAATTTCTAGCATTTAAAATAAGCCTTATTTTTTTTTCAAGATGGCAAATTTGAAGCATCGTTAGCATGCATCTCCCACTTGGAAAGACAAAATAGTACGCAGAGATTCACACCATGAACTTTTTTTTCCAAGAAGCAACACAGGAGCTTAACAGAAAAATGGAAAGAAACCACAGACTCTTTGAAAGGAAGGGTGGGCTGCAGCATTCACCATGAGCCAGGTGGAAAACTGTAAGTCTCTAGAGCATGGGAGTGCGGATAAAATGCCTCCAGGATATACACTCCCACTGGGGAACATGGCAATCCAGGCCGTAGGGGAGGCCTTAACCCTACCCAGTGCTGGGTTGATTTAGTGAGCAGTGAGGGGTATTTGAGAAGGAGTGGCATCAGGATGTGCTTTGCATAGATTCCCAGTGCCAAGTGGGGAAGGAGGAAAGCCATTTTGGATCCTTCCTTGCAGGGCACCTCATGGAAGCCTGCCAAATTACTCAGGTGGCAGTTACACGTTAAGAGAAGCTCCCACCTGAGATTCATGATATAATCTCGAGTGGAGACAAATTCATTTGACCAGAACCCAGGGATGAATAGGAAGTGTGCTGCAGCCAAGAGTGCAGGAGTTGGGTGATCCTGCTTCTTGGGCATACTAGGAGGGATGTGGCCTGAAAGCCACAGTTTCTGTCTCCATGGGGAAAGCTTGCGGCCTAGGGCAGTTTTGAGTTCTGAACACAAACTGCCTGGAATCTAGCTAGCTGCTGTTAGCGGAAAACAATGGGTGTGAGACCCGCCTTGCTAAGTGTATGGGAGCTGGGTGAGGCTTGCTGCTGCCTGCTACTCCTCGCTCCCTGTGTAAACTCTTCTGGACAACAGAGGCACTTGTGCTGCTCCCTGAACATTACCACAGTGGTCAGAAAACTGCCCTCCAGTCCTGCTGCCTGGGCCCGCATGTGGGGAGCCAGAGCACAGACTTGCCTGACCCAGCCTCCACCTGACTTTGCCCCTTGCTTAACACCAAAGAAAGAAACATTTTGGAGCTCTATGGCTCCACCCACTGCCTGACACCCAGAACATCTCCTCTGGGTAACATAAGGCAAGCACCAATTCCACAGCAACCACTGCAGCTGGTGCTCATTTGCAAGGGGTACCTCCTTGCTGGAGGCCAAACAACACAGTCTATTACAGCAATAGGCAGGTAGAATAACACAGCATCCAGGAAGGAGAAAACTTGTGTGTGACCTCAACTATCACCATTGCCTGCATCACCCTTGCTAACCAGGAAGTTCTGAGTTTGTCCACATGATTAGTTCGTTACTACTGCAAGCGCCGTTTGAGACAGCCAATGCATGAAGGCTATTTATAACGAAGGAATCTCAGTGTCTACATTACTCCCTTTCTGCCTGCCTCAGAGCTGGTTCTGGTACCTGCTGCTGGGAGACTTGAGGATAAGTCGCATCACTAGAACCCTTGGAGACATTCTCCAGCACCAGCATGGAGTATGGCAGTCCTACTGGGAGGCTAGATCTAGAGGAGCAGCAGCATTCATAGTAGTCTGGCCCTCAAGGACTCTTACTCTAGCGGAAGGGGGAGTTCACCACATCAAAGGAGCACTTGCTGGGATAAAATAATTCAGATAGTAGGCTTTGAGTCCAAGAACTTTCTGTTTGTGGGTCATTTCTTTCAGCAGAGGCACTGATGCAGTCCTGGACTCAGTGGGGAAAGTCTATGGCTCTGCTCCAACAGACAGGCAGCCCTAGTGCTCACGAAGGGTCCTGGAGAAGGGGACTTGTTCTCCCTTTTGTCCATCACTCCAGGCATGACTGCGGTCTCTCCCATAGGAGCCCCTTGTGAGTGCATCTGTAGACAGCTTTTTTGGAACACTTCAGGGTGGCTGCATCCCCACAGAAGGAGTGCTCTTCAGGTTTAGACTTTCATAAGTAGTAAAATCACAATCTTTCTCTACATGAAGCATCAACATTCCTGCAGATGAAAAGAGGTGCCTGTGTAATCTGAATAGTCAGAACTTCATATGCTGGATCAGGAGTATGACTGGAAGGTGGATTGCTTTTCTACTGGTCTGGCAGGGAAGCTGAGGTGGCTTCCTGCCTTCCCCCTGAAAAGATCTTAGTGCATTTCACTGAGAGCTCCCCCAGCCACCTCTGTCAAGGCTGGGATCTCTGCCCACCATTGGTTATTGCATTGCCCCCCTGCTTTACCAACAACTGGTTTTTACCTGTGTACACCTCCACTACTGCCCTGAAGCCTGAACTGTTCAACCCAGTAGCTAAAATACTGTAGAAAACATAACTGAACAAGTGGACACCACTGGGGAACAAGATAAACTTCAAAATACTTCTGCCATTTCAACCCCACAGTAGACAGTGAACTTGCGCACACACCAAGCATATTTCTACTACAACCAATATCTAAGAAAACTGTCATACAGATTCTGTATAACCAAAGAACTCATGCAGGGTCTTCACCCCTTAAAGCATCAAGAGCCAAATTAGACTACAATAAACTATAAACACCAAAGTCACATCCTCAAGAGGGTAAAAAATAAATTAGGAAGGACACAGTCAAATCAAAAATGAATACAAAAATAATTAGAAGAAATAGTTGATCTAAATGAGAAGAAAACAGATAAACAATTCTGGCAATATGACAAAACAGGGTTCTATAACATTCCAAAAATATCAGCAATTAATTCAAACCAAGAAGAAATCTTTGAAATACCAGATAAAGTATTCAAAAGGTTTATTATTAAGCTACACAAGGAGATACAAGATAAAGGCAAATCCAACATAAAAAGAGTAAAAAAAAATCAGGATATGAATACAAAATTTTCTAAAGAGATAGATATTTTAAAGAAAAGCCAATCAGAACTTCTGGAAATGAAAGACATATTTAGAAAATAACAAAATGCAGTGGAAAGTTTTAACAATAGACTAGGAAACCATCATTCTCAGCAAACTAACACAGGAATAGAAAACCAAATACTGCATGTTCTCACTCATAAGTGGAAGTTGAACAATGAGAACACATGGACACAGGGAGGGGAATATCACACACCGGGGCCTGTCAGAGAGTTGGGGCCAATGGGAGGGAGAGCATTAAGACAAATGCCTAATGCATGTGGGGCTTAAAACCCAGAGGATGGGTTGATGGGTGCAGCAAACCACCATGGCACATGTATACCTATGTAACAAACCTGCATGTTCTGTACATGTATCCCAGAACTTAAAGTTTAATTAAAAAATAAAAATAAAATGAAGTGTTTAAAAAAAGAATTTCAGAACTTAAAGACAAAGCTTTTAAATTTACCCAATCAGACAAAAATAAAAAAGAATCAAAATAAAGTTTCCAAGAAATGTGGGATTATGTAAAGCAGACAAACATAAGAATCATTGGTTTTCCTGAGGGGGAAGAGAAAGCAAAAAGTTTGGAAAATATATTTGAGAAAATAATTAACAAAAACTTTCCTGACCTTGCCAGAGATTAAGTATCCAAATACAAGAAGCTCAAGGAACCCCTGGGAGATTCATTATAAAAAGGACATCACCAAGGCATTTAGTGATCAGGCTATCTAAAGTCAACATGAATGAAAGAATTCTAAATAGCAGTGAGACAAAAGCATCAGGTAACCTATAAGGAAAAACCTATCAGACTAACAGGAGACTTCTCAGCAGAAATCTTATAAACGAGAAGAGATTGGGGTCCTATCTTCAGCCTCCTTAAACAGAATAACTGGTCACCAAAAATCTTGTATACAGCAAAACTAACTCTTATAAATGAAGGAAATATAAAATATTTTTTCAGAGAAGCAAATGCTGTCACCACCAGAACAGCCTGAACAAGAAATGCTAAAAATAATAGTAATAAATAAATCTTGAAACAAAAGACTGCTATGCACCAGAATAGAACCTTTTGAAAATATGAAACTTGCAGAGCCTATAAAACAATAACACAAAGAAGAAAAAATGTATGTAGGTAACAATCAACATAATGTCTGGAACAGTACCTCACATATCAATATTAATGTTGAATTTAAATTATCTAAATGCTCCACTTAAAAGACATAGATTGGCAGAATGAATAAAAAATTACAAACCAAATATCTGCTGTCTTCAAGAGACTCAACTAACACATAAGGATGCTTACAGATTTAAGGTAAAAGGGTAGAAAAATATATCTTATTCAAATAGAATCCAAAAGTGAGATGGAGTAGCTGTTCTTACATTAAATAAAACATACTTTAAAGCAACAACAGTAAAAAAAGACAAAGTCATTATATAATGATAAAAAAGATTAATCTAACAAGCAGATATTATAATCCTGAATACATATACACACCTAACTCCAGAAATCCCAGGTTCATAAAACATTTACTACTAGACCTAAGAAAAGAGTTAGCAACACTATAACGGTGGGGGTGGGGGAGGGGGTTTCCACATGCCACTGACAGCACTAGGCAGATCATCAAGGCAGAAAGTCAACAAAGAAACACTTAAACTGTAATGAAATCGAGATGGAAGTTAAAAATTTCTTTGAAATGAATAATAATAGTGATAAAAGTTATCAAAATCTCTGGGATAAAGCAAAAGCAGCAATAAGAGGAACGTATCCCCAGACGTGCAGGGATGGTTTAACATAAGCGTGGTGTCAGGTCTTAGACACCATATAAACATCATATAAACAGAATTAAAATCAAAAACCAGATGTTTCTCTAAGTAGACGCAGAAAAAACATTCAGTTAAATCTAGAGTTCTTTTATTATAAAAACCCTCAATAAACTAGGTATAGAAGGAACATACCTCAAAATAATAAAAACTGTATATGATAAAACCATAGACAACATTACACTGAATGGGGAAAAGCTGAAAGCATTCCCCTTATGAACTGGAACAAGATAAGAATGACCATTTTCACAACTTCTATTCCACATAATACTGGAAGTCCTAGCCAGGGCAATCAGGCAAAGAAAAGAAATAAAGGGCATCCAGATAGGAAAAGAGAAAGTTAAACTCTCTCTGTTTGCTGATGATGTAATTGTATACTTAGAAAACCCTAAAGACTCTTCCAAAAGATTCCCAGATTTGATAAATAAATTCAGTAAAGTCTCAAGTTACAAATTCAATGTACACAAATCAGTAGCACTGCTATACACCAGCAATGACTAAGGTGAGAATCAAATCAAGAACTTAATCCCTTTTATAACAGATGCAAAATAAAAAGATATCTAGGAATATACTTAGCCAAGGAGGTGAAAGGTCTCTACAAGAACTAGAAAACACTGCTGAAAGAAATCATAGATGACACAAATAAATGGAAATACATTCCATTCTCATGGAATAGAAGAATCAATATCATTAAAATTACTATACTGCCCAAAGCAATCTAGAGATTTAATGACATTCTTATCAAAATACCAATATAATTTTTTAAAGAATTAGAAAAAAATTCTAAACTTCATATGGAACAAAAAGAAAAAAAGCCCTGAATAACCAAAGCAATCTCAGTCAAAAAGAACAAATCTGGAGGCATCACATTACCTGACTTCAAATTATACTACAAGGCTATAGTAACCAAAACAGCATGGAAATTGTATAAAAGTAGAAACATAGATTAATGGAACAGAATAGAGAATCTAGATATAAAGCCAAATACTTACAACCAGCTGATCTTCAACAGAGCATAGAAAATATAAATTGAGGAAGGCATATCCTATTCAACAAATGCTACTAGGAAAACAGGATAGCCACATATAGAATGGAACTGGATCCCTGTCTCTTACTATATACAAAGATCAACTCAAGATGGGTGAAAGAGTTAAATCTAAGACCTGACACCATAAAAATTCTAGAAGAAAACCTAGAAAAAACAATTTTGGGCATTGCCCTATGCAAAGAATTTATGACTAACACCCAAAAACAAATGCAACAAGAACAAAAATAAATAAATAAACCTAATTAAACTAAAATGCTTCTGCACAGAAAAAAATCATCAGAGTTGACATACAGTCCACAAAATGGGAGAAAATATTTGCAAACTATGCATCTGACAAGGGACAAGTATCCAGAATTTACAAGGAACTCAAATCAGCAAGTGAAAATCAGTCCCATCTAACTGTGGGTAAATTATATGTGTAGACATTTTTCAGAAGAAGAAGATATACAGATGTTCAACAAACATATGAAAAAAATGCTCAGCATTACTAATCATCAGGGAAATGCAAATTAAAATCACACTGAGACACCAACTTCCCCCCCAGTCAGAATGGCCATTATTAAAAAGTCAGAAAGCAATAGGGGTGGCATGTATATGATGAAAAGAGAATGCTTAGAGTTTGCTGGTGTTAATGTAAATTATCGCAATCTCTATGTAAAACATTATAAAAATTTCTTAAAGAATTAGAAGTAGATCTACCATTCAATCCAGCTATTTCAGTACTTAGTATCAACCTCAAGAAAAAGATGTAATTCTATCGAAGACACTTGCATACATATGTTTATTGCAGGACAATTCACAATTGTAAAGCTATGAAACCAACCTAAGTGTCCATCAACTGATGAGTGGATAAAGAAATTGTGATATATATATATCACTGTTACATTGTTTGAGGTTAATCACAAGATACTGAGGCTCTGTTCCAATATTTCCTTTTTTGGTTCTTTCTTTACAACATTTTTTCTGGTGTGCTACTCAATCATAAAAAATACTACTCAGTCATAAAAAAGAACAAAATAATATCTTTTGCAGCAACTTGGATGGAGCTGGAGGCCATTATTCTAAGTGAGGTAACTCAGGAATAGAAAAACAAATACAGTATGTACTCACATATGAGTGGGAGCTAAGCTATGGGTATGCAAAGGCATTCAGAGTGGTATAATGAACTTTGGAGTCTCAAAACAAAGGATGGTGGGAGGAGGATGAGGGATGGAAAACTACATATTGGATACAATGTACACTACTTGGGTGACAGGTGCACTAAAATTTCAGACTTCTCCGCTGTACATTTCACCCATGTAACAGAAAACCACTTGTACCTCAAAAGCTATTGAAATTAAAAAATAAATATAATAAAGCAAAAATTAAATAAAATAAGGCTTGAAGGATATATATATTATATATATCCATATATAAAACTGGAAGATCAACTAGGAGCATTTTCCTGCCATGAAACAATAAGGTGAAGGCCAAGCAAACCTATTTTCCCAAGATGAGAAAGAAAAACATAGAGTTGTAATCTGCTTAACCAGCTGGAATGTGTTGGACAAACATTGAAAAAGAGAGAGCTGCACAGAGGGAGCACTTAGAAGTCTGTAGAATCATGTATTGTGGTTCCTTGGCCAAGAGCTAGGCTGCACATACGTAAGGTGACATTCCCTGAGGCTAGCAGAGAACTCCACTGACCACTCACTGTGAAACTGAAAGTCAAATGTCATAGCAGAGGTTGTGCACTGCTGGAATCTGGATTGTGCAGTTCTGAGAGATGTCGGTGTTCCAGTCCAACCAAAATAGAAAGACTTCACAGAATACCTTAATCATTCAATGTAGGCCCCAGAAGGACACACTTGTGTAGTGAGGACCCTTCACTAAATCTACAACCAAGTTCTAAACTGAAGTAGATCTGTCCTAATAAAGTTAAGCTTGGCAAGAGCAAAATCAACTGTTAGCAATTTAACTGCATGCTAAAAGATTCAAGTAGTGTTTAAAATATGGCATAAATGAGGTTCCTTTTGATATATGACAAAATGTGAATCATAAAATTAAAACAGGTAGGTAAGCAAAGTAGGAAGATGTTATCCATAACCCAATTTTTTAAAAAAATAATAAAAAATGGATGTTGGAATTAGCATACAAAGACTCTAAAAGCAGTTATTGTCAATATGCTCAAAGACCTAAAGGAAAAAAAAGTGATGAGTCATAAAAAGTGGACAGAATCCCAGAGTAGTAATAGAAGCTATATGAAGATCCAAATAGAAATTGTAGACTCAAATAATATAATATGTAAAAGAAGCTGCCAGTTAAATTCATTGTAAATGAAGTAAAAAAGATATTAAGCTTGAGATAGAGACAGTAGAAATTATCTGATCTGAAGCACACAAGAAAAAAATGTTGAAAAGAAACAAACAAGAAAGCAAATATTGTAACAGAGCCTCACTATCTTGTGGTTAACCTCAAACAATGTAACAGTGTAATTTAAATCCCAGAAGGAGAGGAGAGAGGGAATGGTCAATGAAAGTATTTGAAAATATAATCACTGAAATTTGTCTAAATTCAAATAACTCCATCAATTTATATACCAATATTTATTGATTTATAATCTCAAGAAGGCTAAACACAAAGAAAATCACACCACTATGATATAACTCACAGTAGACTGCTGAAAATGGAAAATACAAAGAAAATCTTAAAAGCAGACAGAGATAAAGACACATTAGATCGTTAGATATAGAATAATATTATGAAGGATTGCTGACTTCCTATCAGAAATGGGAAAGGTAAAAGACCATGAACTGACATCATAAAAGTGCTGAATGTAAGACAAATGTCAACCTAAAACTCTATAAGTAAAGCAAAATCTTTAAAAGTAGGAGAGAACTAAGATATTTCAGATAAATTACAGTTAAGAAAAATCATCACCAGCTCACTTGCATTTCACGAAACACTGAAGCAGTTTTTTATATTGAAGAGAAATAATAGCAGATAGAGTCTTAGATTCTCCCAGAAGAAATGAAATGCATAGGAAATATTAAATATGTGTATAAATATACAATTTTCTTACAATTTTTCAAAAAGCAAGTGACTAAAGCAAAAATCATAACATTGTATTGTAGGATTTGTTTTACAAATATAAAATACCTGAAAATGATAGCACCAAAAATAAAAATGGAATTTTACCATG
Organism: Homo sapiens; assembly: GCF_000001405.40. Classification (NCBI taxonomy): domain Eukaryota; kingdom Metazoa; phylum Chordata; class Mammalia; order Primates; family Hominidae; genus Homo; species Homo sapiens. The sequence goes on from NC_000011.10 coordinate 37,372,519, forward strand.
ATTCTACTAAAAATTGCACAATATTGAATCTAGGCAAATTTGGTGTGATAAGATGCAAATCATTATATCTGTAGAAACTACTAAAATAATGTAAACGGATAAAGCTTAAAAGTCTTTATAGAAGACAGAATAAGAAATTATATTTAATGCCAAAGAAGCCAGAAAAGGAAAAAGAGAACCGAAAACAGGTAGCACTATTAAAAAACAGAAAATAATCAAATTAAATGAAACTATACAATTAATGACATTAAATATATGTGTACTAAGCATTCTGATTAAAGAACAGAGATGATGAGACTGTCTAAAACAGTAAGACCCAACCATTTTGTTGTCTGTATTTAAAGAGTCAGCAATTTAAGTAGACACAACTAGGTTGAATGTAAAAGCATGGAAATACATACTAAGCAAACACTAATTATAAGAAATATGGTAAGCTTATATAAATATCAGACAAAGTTGACTTAAAGATACAGAATATTGTAAGTTAAATGGGAACTTTCAGAATCATAAAATGGTTAATCTTCGAGAATATATGTAAATTCAAAATGTCAATGAGTCTAATTGTAGTTTTACAGGATACGTTAAGAAACCATTGACAAATTAAAGGGAAAATAGACAAATCTACATTCACCATTGTAGATATTAACACCCCATTTTTTACAATACATAGAGTACCTACTAAACAATAACAGCAGACCAATAGTAATGTAGAAGTATTGAGCATGCAATCATATAACTTGATTAAAATTTACTTATATTAAACCTAAAAACAGTAAAATACAAGCTCCTTTCAAGTACACCTGCAATGTACACCAGGATGGACCATATAATGGGCCTTAACATGAGTCAAAGTATAGTCTAAATGTGTCTGATCTGGCTGGACATTTCCATGAACATCACATCAGTCCACTATACAAATATATCAGATTAAACTGACTGAATGAGAAGAAAGTGGCAAGTATGTAAGAGGCCTTGGTAAGACATGTGCAGTCTTTCAGAATAGAAGACATACCCTATGAAGCTTAAAGGGCTTACCACAGTGCATTTGTTTAGGGGTCCAAAGATATGGAACATATTGGGACACCTCCTCCAAAGTGAAGGTATACTTTTCACTTGGCATCACTAAAGAGGAAGTACAAAACTACAATATTACTTAGATTACGAATACATCATATTCCACCTTTGGGAATTCTCCACTGTTTCACTTACTAAGTAACAAGGAAGCCTACCAATTTTGTGTGGGACCCAGAAAAGCCTCTGCAGGAGGTTGAGACTGAAATAAAATCAGCTCTTTCACTTGAGCTATGAGACCCACCAGATTCTAAGAAATCAGAGGTATCTGTGTTGAGAAAAGTTTCTATATGGGTTTATGCAAACCTAAATAGGAAAGTAACAATAGAGACCACTATGTACCTAGGATAATGGAGTTAAGCCATACCACCTACAGGAGATACATCAATTTAAAATCAAATACTGTCATGCTATTGGATTATGGGGGAGAAAGATTCTCTGATATCAAGAGACCACGAGACCAGAGTGTCTTTTGTCTTTGGTTCTGTTAGACCATCACATTATAATGTTTGGCAGTTCCAGCAACATTCTACTGTGAGATGTGAGTGAGGCATATAGGACCCAGGACAAGCAGAGCCAGAAGCCACAAGTGAGTTGCTCCTTGATCAAGTGAACCAGATACCATGCTATTCATGAATTTTGCATCAGTGCATACCTATAGCACAAGACGGGGGCGGGGGGGCATTTTTTAAAATCAAATAATGGAGGAAGAAAACATGAGTATTGTTCTTGGATGAACTTGACATGTGAATTGAAGTAAAAATGGACTGCTGCCACATTACAGCCCACTCAGGGGTAACCCTGAGAGATAGTTGTAAGAGTAAATTCTCCCAGTGGGCAGGGCTTCAAGTAAGTGTACGTGTTTGACAAACAGCAGCCTGAGACGGGAATATATATTTGTGGAACTGCAAAGCATTTAGCTAATTGTCATGAATAGGATTGAAAAACTTGGGACAAGGAAATATGGGAGAGAGGCATGCAGCTAGTTATATTGGAAGAGCAGGAACAGTGAAAATCTTTATATTGCATGTATACCCCAGAGAACATGCACCACTGAATATGGGCCAAGTCCACAACTAAGCAAAATGGCCTGGACAGTTAGCATAATCCAGCTTTTTACATTGGTCAGCTCAGTGCTGGCACAGTGGGCACATGAAAAGAATAGGTATGATGGCAAGAATGGTTGCTATACATAGGCCCAATAGCATGGGCTCAAAGGCTGAATTAGCTATTGCCACTGCCGATGTCCAGCTACCAGCAACAGAAATAGAGTTCTCAAGAATGTACTATCCTTTATGAGATGGTCATTTGATAGCTTTCCATAGGACAGTGATTCATTTTAATTGGAATAAATATATATTTTGGGCTTGGGGTTTTATTTCATTCTTATAGGAACTTAACCAGCAGAGTTTTCTGATAATTTACAGAGGGTTTAGTTTACGAGTGGATTACACATAAAATTGCATTGGACTAAGAGATCCACTTTGTAACTACATTGATTATCTATTGCTGCATAAGGATGCCCCAAAACTTGGTGACTTTAAACAATAAACATTTATTTTCTTACATAGTTAATCTAATAGGGAGTAAGGTGAAGGAAGCATGTTGTATGGCCTACTAGTACTTGAAGTCACATACTATCATTTCCATAATATTGCATTGGTTATATAGATTAGCCCCATTCAGTGTTAGAGGAAACTGTACAAATGCATGAATAAATGAGAATAATAATGAATGGACATGATCTTGGAGGCTGACTTTTATAAAAGCCAAGATAGTGAGGCAGTGGGTAGGTAGCCATGGGATTCACCAGTCTTATCACTTACAGTACTTCACAGAAGCATAGGCATACATTGATGAACTGATAAAATGGTCTTTTGAAGACACAGTTGATGTTCCCACTTGGGTATCTTATAAGAATAGCACTCTATCCAACCAGGATGCAGTGTATACCCTAACAAAATAGCCATTTTTTGATGGTGTTTCCCAAATAAATGGAATACATGGGTTCAGCAACCAAGAGGTGGAAGCAATAGTAATCCCCCTAGTCATTACTCTCAGTTATGTGTTTGGAAAATGTGTACTTCATGTTTCTATGAATCTAGCCTGCTCTTTGGGTCTAGACTCTCTTTGTTGACAAGATATCCTTTCTTTTTTTGAACTGCTTTGGTCAAAAATTAATTCTCTCCATATGTAGTTCTATTTTTAGTCTCTCAATTAGATTCAATTTATCTGTGTGTTTATTTTTGCATCAATACCACCTTATCTTGGTTACTGTGGCTTATGGAGTAACACTTGAAATCATGGAGTACAAGTAATTTATCCATCATTTTCTCTCCCAAATTGACTGTTCTAGATCTTACGCATTGTCATACAAACTTTTAAAATTAACTGGTCAGTTTCAGCCAAAAATCAACTTAAAATCAACTTAAATTGTATTAAGATTGCATTGAGTCTACAGATTAACTTGGAGATAATGGACAAATGTCTTAGGTTAGTTTTTCTGTACTATAGGCTATGAGACTTTGATATACACACGCATGAGAATTCTTGGTGAGTGCTATTGAGAACAAGTCTTCAGGGGTAGAGAAGCAGGTCTGGGCAAATAAATCAGCTGGTCTTTGCTATATCTCTGTATTAGTCTGTTCTCATGCTGTTAATAAAGACATATCAGAGACTGGGTAATTTATAAAGGAAAGGAGGTTTAATGGACTCACAATTCCACATGGCTGGAGAGGCCTCATAATCATAGTGGAAAGCAAAGGAGGACGAAGGTCATGTCTTATATGGTGACAGGCAAGAGAGCTTGTACAGTGGAACTCCCATTTATAAAACCCTCAGATCTTGTGAGACTTCTTCACTTATTCTTGTGAGGTTATTCACTACCATGAGGACAGTATGGAGGAAACCACTGACATAATTCAATTATCTCCACCTGGCTCCACATTTGACACATGGGGATTATTACAACTCAAGGTGAGATTTGGGTGGGGACACAGCCAAACCATATCATTTTGCTCCTGGCCCCTCTCAAATCCAATGTCTTTACATTTCAAAACCAATTATGCCTTCCCAACAGTACCTCAAAGTCTTAACTCATTTCAGCATTTACTCAAATGTCAACAGTGCAAAGTCTTATCTTAGTCAAGGCAAGTTTCTTCTGCCTATGAACTTGTAAAATCACAAGTGAGTTACTTCCTGTATACAATGGGGCTACAGGCATTGGGTAAACACACTCATTCAAAATGGGAGAAATTGGCCAAAATGAAGGGGCTATGGGCCTCATGCAAGTCTGAAATCCAATAGGGCAGTCATTAAACCTTAAAGTTCCAAAATGATCTACTTTGACTTCATGTCTCACGTTCAGGTCACACTGATGCAAGTGGTGGGCTCCCATGGCCTTGGGCAGCTCTACCATTGTAGTTTTGCAGGCTACAGCTCCCTCTTAGCTACTTTCACAGGCTGGCGTTGAGTGTCTGCAGCTTTTCCAGGTACAAGGTGCAAGCCGTCAGTGGATCTACCATTCTGGGGTCTGGAGGACGATGGTCCTCTTCTCACAGCTCCACTAGGCAGTTCCCCAGTAGGGACTCTGTACCGGGGGTGGGGGTTCCAGCCAAATATTTTCCTTCTGCACTACCCTAGCAGAGGTTCACCATGAAGTCTCAGCCTCTGCAGCAGACTTCTGCCTGGACACTCAGGCGTTTCCATACATCTTCTGAAATCTAGGTGGAGATTTCCTAACCTCAATTTTTGACTTCTGTGCACCCCCAGGTTCAACCACTATGTGGAAGCTGCTAAGGCTTGGGGCTTGCACTCTCTGAAGCAATAGCCTGAACTGTATGTTGGCCCCTTTTAGCCACAGCTGGGACACAGGGCAACAAGTCCCAAGGTTGCACAAAGCAGTAAGACCCTGGGCCTGGCAAATGAAACCATTTTTTTCCTCCTAGGCCTCCAGGCCTGTGATGAGAGGGGCTGCTATGAAGACCTCTGATATGCCCTGGAGACATTTTCCCCATTGTCTTGTCAATTAACATTTGGCTCCTCATTATTTATGCAAATTTCTGAAGCCTGCTGAATTTCTCCACAAAAATCGGTTTTTCTTTTCTATCACATCATCAGGCTGCAAATGTTCTGAACTTTTATTCTCTGCTTCCCTTTTAAACATAAGTTCCAATTCCAAACCATATCTTTGTGAATACATAAAACTAAATGCTTTCAAGAGCACCCAGGTTACATCTTGAACACTTTGCTGCTTAGAAATTTCATCCATCAGATGCCCTAAATCATCTCTCTCAAGTTCAAAGTTCCACAAATCTCTAGGGCAGGGGAAAATCCTGCCAGTCTCTTTGCTAAAATATAGCAAGAGTGACCTTTACTCCAGTTCTTCCAAGAAGTTCCTTGTCTCTATCTGAGATCACCAAAGCCTGGACTTTATTGTCCATATCGCTATCAGCATTTGGTCAAAGCCATTTAACAAGTCTCTAGGAAGTTCCAAAGGTTCCCACATGTTCCTGTCTTTTTCTCAGCCCTCCAAACTATTCTAACTTCTGCCTGTTACCCAGTTCAAAAGTTGCTTCCACATTTTCAGATATCTTTACAGCAGCACCCCTCCCTACCAGTACCAATTTACTGTATTAGTCTGTTCTCACACTGCTAATAAAGACATACCTGAGACTGGGTAATTTATAAAGGAAAGGAGATTTACTGGACTCATAGTTTCACATGGCTGGGGAGGCCTCACAATCATAGTGGAAGGTGAAGGAGAAGCAAACTCATGTCTTACATGGTGGCAAGCAAGAAAGCTTGTGCAGGGGAACTCCTATTTATGAAATCATCAGATCTCATTAGACTTATTCACTACCACAAGAAGAGTATGGTGGAAACCGCCCCTATGATTCAATTATCTCCACTTAGCCTCACCCTTGGCATTTGGGGATTATTACCATTCAAGGTGAGATTTGGGTGCAGACGCAGCCAAACCATATCAATCTCTAACAAAAGCCTCTGTCAATTGTGTGGGGGAGCTCTGGAGCTGAAATGAACATTCAGAATCTGCCTGCAGTAGGCTCCACATCATGCTAGGTTCACGTTATTGCCAAACAAACAATAATGAAGTTGTGAGAATAATAAATAAGAAACAAAATAATACAAACTAGGACTAATGAATACAAAGTGCACATTTCTAAGCATTTTATAAAACCTTTTCTTCTGCATTGATGAGAAAATAAGGTAGCTATCAAGGAATAAGCATCACTTAACCAAGTTTGTGATGAGTATCTGTTTCAAGCTTCTATTTTATTCTTTTTTTTTCAGACATAAGTCCTCCTTTTTGTAATGTAAGCACTGACTAGTGACACCTAGGTTTGTAGCTGTTTAAAAGAACTTGCCTCTTCATTTTCAATATAAATTCTCTTATTCCATTTATCTTGACTCCAGGAGAATAAAACATGCTGTTGCCACTCCAAACTGGATAAAATGTGTTCAGTTCAAAAGGTTTAGAAGGGATTTATGGGGAGATAATCACACAGTGTGTTTTATGATTTGCTGTAAATTCCGTGGTTACAGCATACTAGGGCAAAGTGCTTATTCAGCATTATTAAAAGTTCAATATTGTCACTTTGCCCATTATTACAGAATCTGGTATATAGAGTGGTTTTTCCCCAGAGAGCAATTAATACTGAGGACTGCATAATTGCTGGTTTATTTCCATTTACAGTAGTTTTTAGCACCCAAGGCCTGTTTATTTCATCTTAAGATAGTTGGTGGCTGGAGGGTGGTGGGGTGTGTCAGGGGGGATCTTCTTGGCTCCCTGTAATTGGAAAATATCCTTTCACTCTGCATTTCCAAACTCTCCCATGCTTAAACACTGAGCTCAGATGTCACATCTTTCATGAAGCTATCACTTTGTCGCTTTTCCTTCAGTCTTCCTCTCTTCTGAACTCCAATATATTTTTTGGAGATTACTTTTCTTTATAAACTGATTGTGGACATCATATGCCAGAAATGTTTTCTAATTTGTATTGTCCATGATGGCTAGCAAATTCCATATGCATATAGAAAGGTATTTAGTGGCTTGATGAATTAGTCTTATCCAACGTAGTTAAATTGAGACAGTATATAAGAAGAAAAACAGATATAAATTAGTTTAATAGGGTGCAGTTTTATTTTTCTTTGCAAACAGTATGTCAAAATGTTGGGGTGAGTATTTTTAAAGAGTTAATTAAAATATTAAAATTGGCTATAAATATGTGATATAGCTGGCAGAGAATTTTGGTTATTGAAGATTGCAGAAGAATAAATGAATATTTTATGAAATAGTAAATCTGGGATGTATTTTAATGCAGAAAATTGCAAGTTGAATGCATATTTACCACAATATGTTCAAATGAACTCTAAGCAAATGAAATCAACCATTGGGTTGAAATATTTTCAGCTATCTAAAAATGCAACATCAGTCCATTTTTTTGCAGGCAAAGGTCTCATTTTTGTTAAATATCTAAGAACTAGTAACTCTTCTCAGAATACAAAAACTTTTTCTAGAGAGCTGGATCTTTAGCAGTAGCTGTGTCCCTCCATGATCGAAGCTTTTCTGGACCTAGGGTCTCACTGAACTTTTCTGAGCCTAAGGTCTCCCTGAACTCTGGAAACTCTTGTCTGCTTGCCCCTTCCGTTCACAGGATTAGCACCTTCTTGCTTTTGCTAGCCATGGCTTCCCAAATCTCTGTAATATTCCTTAAATTAATGTCTATCCAATGTGTGCTTTATTTCTTTCTAGGACCCTGTATCAGGAGCAATTTCTCCCCACATTCATACATTACATTTCCTGTTGAAGGATGTTTTGGATTTTGGAGGGGTTGATTTCCACATCCCTTTTTTGAATCTATTTAACTTCTCTTTACTTGAAGATGTCAACCTGAAAACTACTTTTTTTTTTTTAAAAAGGACATCTTTATTTGTATTAACCTCTAACTTAAATATAGCATTTTCTTTCATTATAAATATAGATGGGAAACCATAGTGTTATTAGTGGTACATATGTTTTTGTTGCCAATAGAAATCCCGGGCATTTTTATTTCACATTACAGTTGTTGCAGATATCTCAAAAAATGTTTACTGCTGCTTTGAGATTATGGTGGATATTAGACTTGCTGCTAGATTTTATTATTATTATTATACTTCAAGTTCTAGGGTACATGTGCACAACGCGCAGGTTTGTTACATATGTATACATGTGCCATGTTGGTGTGCTGCACCCATTAACTCGTCATTTACATTAGGTATATCTCCTAATGCTATCCCTCCCCCTCCCCCCACCCCACAACAGGACCCAGTGTGTGATGTTCCCCTTCCTGTGTCCAAGTTTTCTCTTTGTTCAATTCCCACCTATGAGTGAGAACATGCAGTGTTTGGTTTTTTGTCCTTGTGATAGTTTGCTGAGAATGATGGTTTCCAGCTTCATCCATGTCCCAGCAAAGGACATAAACTCATCCTTTTTTATGGCTGCATAGTATTCCATGTTGTATATATGCCAAATTTTCTTAATCCAGTCTATCATTGATGGACATTTGGGTTGGTTCCAAGTCTTAGAGTGTCGCTCTGTTGTCCAGGCTAGAGTGCAGTGGTGCGATCTCTGCTCACTGCAAGCTCCACCTCCCAGGTTCACTCCATTCTCCTGCCTCAGTCTACTGAGTAGCTGGGAACACAGGTGCCCGCCACCATGCCCAGCTAATTTTTTTTTTTTTTTGTATTTTTAGTAGAGACGAGGTTTCACCGTGTTAGCCAGGATGGTCTGGATCTCCTGACCACATGATCCACTCGCCTTGGCCTCTAGAAGTGCTGGGATTACAGGCGTGAGCCACTGTGCCAGGCCCTGGAAACTACTTTTAACTCAATTGCATCTCTTATAAAAAGAGACATAAAGGCCAGAACTTGACTCAGCAAGTCACTTAAAGTCAGAAGAGTTGTAGATTTACCACAAACTTTAAATTATAGATATGCTACATATATTAAAATACATTAAAATAAAAGCTGCAATTTCATGAGAAAAAAAATAACGAATAGGTTAAAGCTTAAGGAACCTCCCAAATACGACAATCCAAACTTAGTAGTTTTTAAATGTTTGTAGAGATTTCAAGTCTGTGTAGAAACTCTATTTTCTCTCTTCCAGTTATTTATTGCTAACAATGCTTAGTTTTGTAATTTAAGATTTTCAGTGATATAAACATTTATTAAGCACAAAATTCTTAGATAACTTAAATATGGTGTCTATCTTCCAAAAGTTTGCCTGTAATTCTGATTCTGCCTCCTACTTAAGCACCTGTAAACTGCCTCTCACACTTAACTTTCTACAGTGACTGTTCTTTCAAAAGTCATTGATGACCTATTTAGTTGTTAAATTTAGCCCTGGATTTTTCTTTGTTCTCCTGGGATTTGTAGTAGTGCTTCTCCTTTTCTATCTTGAAACTATCTCCTTTCAAATCTCCCATGAATTTGTTTACCTTGGTTCTGTCCTTTTCACTGAACTTTCTGTACACATGTCACTTTCTCTTGCTCTTTTCTCTATTTTTAACTTCTCTCTCATCCCGGGCTCTCAGAAAAATATTTACCATTACCAACTCATATCCTGAATTCTGATTCTGTATTTCAGTCTGTCTGCTGGGTATCTATTTTTGATGTCATAAAATCATCTGTGTCTACATTCTTAAGTAAAATTTTTGCATTCCACCTTCTTACTACTGAAATAAAACCTTCAATTTCTTTCTAAGTTAGCATAGTTTAGTGAAGAAGTTGAAAAATTATGGCCCGTGGATCAAATCCAGGCTGCCACCTGTTTTTATACAGTGTGCAAATAATGTTTGTTATATTTCAAATGGTTGAGAAAATGAGAGAAGAATAATATTTCATGACATGAACATTTTATAAAAATCAAATTGTATTCATAAATAACATTTTAAAGGAACACAGCCATGCCTATTCCTTTACTTGTTGTCTAAGGCTTCTTTTGACCTATAATGACAGAGTTGAGTAGCTGTGACAGAGACAATGTGGGCTGCAAAGCTTAAAATATTTAATATCTGGTCATTTAGAGAACAAGTCTATTGACTCCAGTTTCAGTGGATGAAGCATGAGCTTATAAGTAGACAGATGGAAATAAATATAAATTTTAGATATTCTTTCCCAAGAGGGATTTCAGGGAGTTAGTTAACACTAATGAACCTCAGTTTTCTTATCTGTAACATTGCAATGACAATAGTCAAGTCCTTAATGAAGTTTATTTTATTTAAAGTCTAAGACTAATACTGTAGATTTTTAGTTAACCTCACAATTTCGTCTTTCTTATTGGTCTTGTGAAGCAATGACAGACAAAATATATTTTATTTTGGTACTAGCTCAGAAATATTTCATAACACCTCTGTTATTCAGGGCTGTTTCAGATCAAGTGAAAGAAATTCAGCTTAAATTAACTTAACCAAACAACCATTATATTATATAATTATATACAATTTTTAGGGTTTGATTTTTTCATTATATATACACATATATATTTTATATATAAACATACATGGTTTATAATGTATTCTATCTATATATAGTAAGTTGTACATATGGTATTATAAAAGGACTTCTTTAAAGTGATGTTAGAAAAATTGTTTTAACATTTTATCCTAGTTACAAAATAACTTCAGTTTATTTAAAGGCCTAAATCTGAAAGTAACAACTATATGATAATAGAAAAATGTAGCATAATCTCTGTGATCTCCATTATTATAATTCATGAAAGAACTTTGTTCTAAGTCTTCCATTGCATCTATAACCTCAGGTATTTGTCAACACAGGAGCCACTTTTAGATTTTTCTAATAACAGTTTTCAGAACACAGTAATTTTGTCTTTCTTAAACATGTTTTAGAGTGACCACTTTTTACATTTTATGCCATTTAGCTAAAGGGAAAATATATTTTAATTTATCCTCTGTTTTTTCATGTGTATGATCTTAAACCTCCTGTTTTATCTTAGTTTTTCTCCTTTTTTTTCTCCACTCTGTCTACTCTGTCTCTAATTCTAGAAAGATAAGTAGATAGATATTGCTATCTATATAAATATATATTGATATGTCTCTCTGTATATATGCAGATAGTGAGAGAGCTAGACATATGTCTATCTAGAGTGAGGGAGAATAGTGTTTTACTTTTTAACTCCAAAAATTGTTTTAGGATTTACCCAAGATGTAAGCCACATGTCCTATTGATTGCTTCTTGCTACTGTAGGGTATTCCATTGTGTATGTCTTATATACTTAAGACATACCCCTATAATAGACACTGAAGTGGCCAACAACTTTTTTTGTTACAGAGTGCTACAACAACATTTGATTTCTCTTCTTGTCAACTATTGCAATAGTTTCTTTGTGGTCCATTCTAAACTGAGCTAAAGGCTAATGTTTCTTCTACAAACAGAAAATTATTTATAAAATAAAATTCTTTGATACAGCCTCATATTACAGAAGTCCTTAGAAGAAACAATATAAAACAAAGGTTTAAAAAAACTCATTTTTATTATGGCACATGTAGTATTTCCTGGGAAATACTTATGCACAAATAAATACATGGGAGGTGGTTCAGAGAAACATATATTAAATTCATGTGAATGACTTCCTGTGAGTTCAAGATCAGCCTGGCCAACATGGTGAAACCCTGTCTCTACTAAAAATACAAAACTTAGCTCGGCATGGTGGCAGGCGCCTGTAATCCCAGCTACTTGGGAGGCCGAGGCAGGAGAATCGCTTGAACCTGGGAGGCGGAGGAGCTTTTCTCTGCATTATAAAATAAGGAGTGGAGGTTGGTAACAGTATTAAAATCCCATTGTGGTTTACAAAGTGCCATTAGATATATTTATAAACAATCTATGTAGGCGCCTGAGGTGGTATTAGTCGTCTCATTCCCAGATGAATTTTCTTGTATGCACTAAACTACCATTCTTTTGGATTTTATAATATAACCAAATACATTTAGAATCTAGAATTATCATAGTTATCAAAACATCTGTAAGTATAAGCCAACGTGACCTCTGTTTTGTGATGAAATATACTTTAAAGAGAAAACAGAATAAATTATGCTACTCAGCAGACAAATATATTTATTGAAAAAAATATAATATATAGATTGCTCAGGTGAACATTTCTGATATTAACATAGTTGCTGATTACACAAGGTCTGACTGAGGAGGAAAACAAGTGTCATTGCCAAGATGGTGTGTGGAAAGATCATTTGCCAAAGAGATGTTTCCACCAAGAAGCTTTCTAGATACAGAACCTGAAATAAACGAGAAGAGGCATAATATTGGTGGGTTCTTCAAAGTTACCATGTAAGAGCTGAAAGAGAGCCCAAATAGATTCTCCTTCTGGGAATTCTCCTATAGAGCATCACAAGAGAGTGTGACACGAATATCAATCACTATTAGAGCATTCAAATAACTCAAAAAGGCAACATAGTGTCAATGGATATTGGGAGTGGGTGGGAACCAGTTGACACATTTGGGCAACTTTAAAATATTGTTATTTAAACTTGGCCCCCAAATGTTAACAGACAGGAGTTTGGAGTCAGACTGACCTGGGTTTAAATCCTAGAGTGAACACACTGATGTGACTACAATAGCAGGTCAATTTTAAACCAAGACCAAGCCAAACCAAATATAAAATTCCAAAGTGATTTGGAAGAACGATATGAAGTTTGCAAAGGAAATATTTAAAAACAATTACAGATTTACTGAAAGCCCTTAAGGACATAAAAGAGTTGAGAAAAAGGAGGGTGACCGAGGATATTTGAGGGCTCTTTCTTTAGAGAGAGTTGCATGTGTGCTATGATTCTCCACCACCCCTAAGCAGAGGGGTGAGGGCACTTACTCCCAACCTCAATTCTAATGAAAGATGCTTTGATAAGATCCCTTGGAGTGTTTGGTATGTGCTTCCTATAATTGTAAGAAAGTAGCAGAATTAACTCTTATTGAGGAATATAAAGGCTATAGATGTCAGCTTGAGGCAATAGGGCAAAGAGGTGAGAGCAGGAGAGAGAGAAAGATAGAGAGAGAACATCCAGTGTTGCTCCTGCTTGGGTGCTATATGTTACAATGGCAAAATTAAAAAAATAGGAATTAATGTCTTCATCTATGAGCACATCCACAACCTACCTCACTGTTTACATCCAAGGAATTTAAATCCTGTTTATTTTATATCCTAATGCATTTCCTATATCCATTAGTTTTCTCTATTCTAACTGCTACTATCTTAGTCACCTAGCAAAAACATGCTGGTGGTGGGGGGCGGGGGGGGGAGAGAGAGAGAGAGAGAGAGAGAGAGAGAGAGAGAGAGAGAGAGAGATTGATTTCCATGTCCACACTGAGCAATAGATAAAGTTATGCCAAAGACAAGAAGGTGGAAATATTTCACCAGCCCTAGATGTGTGTGATTTGACTTGGAGAAAGAACTGGCCTAAAGTAATTTACAAGACTGACTAGGAGAATACCTATAAGCATGATGGACCCTCAACAGAGAAATTCTGAGTGGAATAAACTTCTAAAAGCCAGGGTTTGAAGGAAGAATGACATACCAAAGAAGATACTTTTTCGTATCTGGGAAGGTGTCATCTTCTGTTTAGGACAAAGTAAGGATGGCAGAGTATGGATTCTGAGTAACATGCCAATGTGATGAGTCAAAGAAGCATTCGCTCTGATTATCTGATGGGTGAAGGGGTTTCAAGTCTCCCAACAGCAATGCCTGTTTAACAAGAACTTCATTTAACCTTACCTGTCTCCCTCAATGTACCCATTTTGCACCCCCATCAGGAACTAAATAGAATTTTTAGTTTTCAAGCCGAGAATTCCTACTCCTCACAGTGGAGAAATGAGATTTTAATTTCACTCAATATTCATGTTTGACGCATTGAATTAAGACTGTGTGATTTCAGTAACTGTAGGATGTTCCATTAGATCTGAGTAAACAGAGAAGTTCATAAGGCTTGACCACATTTATTCCATGGCAGGAGAAAAACTACCTCTACTGACTAAATATAGAGAGACAGTGAGGGACAAGAATAAAAGTGCATTTTAATTATATTTCACAATTCTAGCTTGTTCCAAAGCACCCACTACATTACATGGGACAAGTTCACCGCCCTGAACTTCAATTTTCCCATCTGTAAAATAAGGATAGTAGTAATTGCCTGAGAAGGCAAGCAGACAATTAGAAGAAATTAACTGTATTTAGAGTTCTATTTATCTTTCCACAGTACCTGAAGCACATGAATTTCTGATTAGTATTAGTCTCTTTATCTCCTCCTCTCTGTTGTAGACATAGATTATGGAAAACCTTTCTGGCTTTTCTCTCATTAAAACAATCTAAAACTCTCAGCAATTTCAAATTCTACATTTGTACTTTTACATCTGAATAAAATGCACTAATTGTGACAGGGTCTTTCTATTCCCACTTGAATTAAAGCATGTAGATCAGCCATATTTACCTCTAAACTTTGTTTCCAAATTATATCATGAGTTCCTGACATAAATATTCCACTCTCTACTAAAGAGTCTCCCTTAAATGCCTGGCAAATATCTCAAATTTGCTGTCAACATCTGAATTAATGTCTCACCCATCCAAAGCTGCTCCTCCTTTGGTGCTATGTGTATAGCACAACTTAAAAAGTAGGAATTAATGTCTCATCTTCATCTGTGAGCACCTCCACAATCTACCTCACCATTTATACCCAAGCAATTTGAATCCTGTTTATTTTGTACCCTAATGCATTTCCCAGATCCATCAGTTTTCTCTAACTGCCACTATCTAAGTCATCTAGTGACAACACACAATGGGTCACATTTACTTCCAAAAATTTGACTCCATCTCCTATCCTTTGCTTAAAGTTATTCACTAATTTATAAGATCTTCATGGTGTGTATCTTGACTGATTCACTCATCCAGGCTATGCTATATACTTGACCTTGACACCACTGAGCATGCTATTTTTTCTGTCTGAAACACCCCATGCCATACTTTTCATTTGTTGAAAATCTGTTCCTTTTTTGTAATTTTGTTTAAGAGACACTTCCCTAAGAGGGATTTCTTTGAATGTCAGACAAAGATATGTGTGATATTTAGCTGGCGTCTGCTGGGATGTCTAAACTGATTATTTAAGGCTGATATTTTTCCATTCTGAATGTTTAGTGCCTATGTATGTTGAATGTTACCCTGAGTTTAGACCCAGACAGAGTCTCCTAGCATATTATTATTATTCTATTACAAATCTAATCAAACTTCCATATCTTACTTTTCAGTCTTAACCTCTAAAAAGTAAGCTCCTGAAGGGCAAGGACTGGGCCTGTTTTCCACATAATCCTCAGTACCTAAACATAGCCAGATTCATGGAAGATAAGAAATAGTTATGGAATAATTAATATAAATCCAATAATTTTGTTGACTACTTTGTTTGCTGAATGTTCTATATTCCTTTTAGAGTCTGATTAATGTGGTAAATTACTAGGGCAATATTTTAGCAAAATAATAGGTAGCTGCCAAAAAATTTGAAACAACGTTACTCTCTAAGAGAATTTTCACGCAATAGATGGGATTAGTCACTTATTGGAGGAAACAAAATATCTGACATTGTGGGACAGCAGATTTGGAACACCAATACTCTAATCATTGTAAACTGAAGCTAAATGCCTGAAGAAATCTAAGAATTCTATAGCAGTATAGGAAGAGAAAAATTAGCTCATTGTATTATTTCCCTGATGAAGAAAGGCCATGTGAATATTGTCAGCCTACAGACCAGAAAAAAACAACAACAAAACCCCTCAAGATCTAGAATTTTGCTAACTGATATTAAACACCAGACAATAAAAATAGTGCCTTTCCCACAGACCAATCCCTGTGAGAGCAATATATCTTTGTTTCAGAGATAGCTGCATCATACCACCATATTCAATTACCACTACATACAAGGAATATGTAATTGACATTTCTTTTCTAACACTATGTTTATCCATCAACTATAGAATTGTAATCTGACTTTCTATGCCTCTATTCCTATAGAGAGATAATAGTGTTTTAGCAATTCTTTGTATAAAAATTGTAGTTATTATTGAAAATCAACCAACTGGCATTCAGGCTTATATTATACATCAGTCTCTCATTGACTTCAGTTAACTTTGGTTCACTCCTAAAAGACACAACAGATCTTGGTATGGTGACAAAATTGGGTACTTAAGTCTGAAAATTTGAGAGCCAAACTCTAGACTTTGGTAAATTTTCCAAGATGCTTTGAATATAATGGTAAACATAAGGATGAGAATAATGATGATGAGAAAATTATTCTTCATTATTTGCTTATTATGTAGACAATACCATGATTAATCTGTACTGTCTATTCTTTACAATAACAATCTGATAAATTATACCATCTTACTTCTTCAGAGGAAAAGACTGAGGTTTAAGAAATTACAAAAAATCACTTAGAAAGTAAATGGTAAATTCAAGATTCAGTCACAAGTCTGTTAGAATCCAGACCCCAAGCTCTTTCTCCCTATGACATATTATCTCACAGATCTATTTTCACAGCTTTAGACATCTGTTTGCCTGGTAACACAACAGTGCTGCCATGTTGTTTTCATTTAACCTTCAATAATTTGTTTAAACACGCAAACAAAAGTAGGTATAGTTCTTGAATCATTTCAACCATAATTTTCAAGTGAAATACTACATAAGGACTTACAGTTTTGAATCTACTAGGTACTAGCTAATAAAATTGTGTCAATAAGTTATGATTACTTGCTATGTTGTCACCAATGTAAAACTCATTCTTATGCTCAGTGCATGCCCCTCACTTTCTATCAAATATATCTGGTAAATCATACGGTTAAAATAAAAAAGGAGCAATTTATTTAGAATTTAAGGCACATGCATTTGTAAACCTTAACTGAAAGTTCGCTTACTTCCCTATTAGGCCATTGTTCAGGATCATATACTTATTTCAATGCCATTCTCTTGAGATACCTAATATGGAGTAGGAAATGGAGATCTAAACATTTGCATCCATCCAGAGACAACAGGCAACCATGAATACCTGAACAGAGGAGGAAGATTTTCCCAAAATCTATTTTTGGGTTTATAATATACAACTTGGGTAATCTGAATGTGGCAGATGTTTTCATTTTAGAGCAAGAAGCGACCCTCAAGGATAAATTTATCTCTCATATTTTATAAAAGAGAAAACAGAGACCCACATGGAAGAAGTGGGAATTTATTTCTTGACATTTTGTTTTGCTCTTTCTCCTTTCCTGTGCTGTCGCATACAATATTGTTATTTTTGTAAGACCTTTGTGACTTTTTTCCTCTATGTGGAATAGTCGTGATTGAGGGACGTGACACATCTTCTAATGCTTTATTTAGACCATTATTAAGAGCATTTTTACACCTTTGTGAAGTTCTTTTATTTTACTAGTGTCTTTCTACCTCAATTTGGTGAGGAAATACTTGCTGGTGGGAGGTAAAATGACAGGTATAGAGGCAAAGTTAATTTATTTAACTTCTCCACAAACTCTAATTCCACCTCCAAAAAAGTTTAGATTTAAAAATATTTAAGCAAAATTCTACTCTGATATAAATTCAGACATAGTTTAGTTGGTGATTGCCTCTCATTCTACTCTTTAAGCAAGTTTCTTAAGGTAGGTGGAGATGAGTGAGAAAAGGGAGGAGGAGGGAAGGGCAAGGTCAGGTGGGAATAGGGAAGCAGCCCCATCGAGGGGAACACAGGAACAACATGGCCCAAAATGCTCTCTATTCACCTAGCTAATTCTCCTGGGATGAGGCCAATAAAAAAGATGACAAGGTTCCAAGAGATTCTGTGTAACCATAAAAATAACTTATCATCCTGGATATTTAAGCTACCAGCCCTAACTAAATGGCTCCAAAGTCATCTGGATCTTAGAAGGATTTAAATCCTGTAGCCAGAAATTGGATCACTACAAATAAAGAGCTTGCTTCCCCAGTCATTTAATTTACTTTACAATCATGCTTTTATAGCATTTTACAACTTTCAACTTTTTTTGTAGCACGCATTGTTTTATGAGAGAGTTTTACTGTAGTTACAAAGTAAATAGGAAACATAATACAGCATCCAGGCAGCAAAGTGTTAAATCACATTATAAGGCAATTTATAAGGGAGGAGATAAATAGCTTTGGGAGGACTCGGTCTGCAAAGCATTTCCAGGAAGCCATGATTAATTGTTCATAGAAATAAATCCCCGTTCTCTTATGAGAGCAGTATTATGTTCAGAGGTCTTACATATCCACGAGGCTCCCTAAGGAAGATAAATTATACTGACTTTAACACTGAAACAGAAATAGAAGGACAGTAGTAAATCAATAATGAATTTATATAGAAAAAATATTAAATTTATTTTCCATTTACAGAGAAATACATGATCTTTGAACACGTTATCCACTTTGAATGGAAAGTGGAGTTTTGTTTTGTTTTGTTTTGTTTGTCTTGATTTTTAAATAACTATTAGGAGACATGAGGATTTTAATTTTTTCAGTTGGTTTTAATTGGGAAATCCATTCCAATGCTTTGGGTTTTAACCAATACTGAGTCAAATTACATAGGGTCCTATTCAATTATACTGCTGTTTTGAGTGTCTACTATTTGTCACTCATTCATGTATTAGGCAAATATTTGTTGAGCGTATATTATGTGTCTGTCACTGTTGTGGATCTTGATATTAATAAAACAACAGTGAAATAAAAATACAAAGGGACTACCTTCAAGTTGCTTGTAATCTAGAAAAGACAAAAATTATGCACAGAAAAAAACATTATTCAGTAGTAGAAATACAGTAAGTTTAGGGGGCATAGATAGAGTGATAGAGTTTTCTATCATAGAAGACTCAGGAAAGGGCTCCTTGAGACGGTTTATTTGTCTTGAGTGAAGTTAGGGAATAAGTTATTTGACTATCTGGGGGAAGAATATTCCAGAAAAGTAAACAAAAGGGGCAAATGCTTTAAGATGCAATATGTTATGAGTTTGAGGAATCACAAGGTCATGTTGGCTCAAGTGACCATGGGGGAGATTGATAGGAAAGAGGCCAGAGAGGTAGTAGGGAGTCAAATCATATTAGGACTTGAAGGAAGCCACTGAAGCTTATAGCATGGGAGTGATACAATCTGATTTGCAATTTAGAAATATCTCCTCTGTGAGTAATAGCTGACGGGAGGACAAAGGGAGAAGCAGAGAGATCATTCATCAGTTACTTTAATTGTAGGAAAGAATCATACTGTCATGGCCTAAGGAGATTACAAGGGAAAAAATGAAAGGTGGTTATATTTCAAATATATTTTGGCATGTCAAAAACTATGCTAAAGCCTGTATATGTAATATCTTATTTAATAAGACCAGATGAGGAAGACAGATACTATCATGTCCATTTCTACATGAGAAATTTGTAGCTGAAAAATGTCAAGTAACTTTTTCAATATTCCTGTACTAGTAAATGATAAAATTAAAAATGATTAAACCTCTTTTGTCTATTTCCATTACTTGAGTGTTTATTCACAGTAAAACTTTGCCTTTTATTTAACCTCATCTACAAATTAGGCCATTAACAATAGGACAACAAGAGGAAAATTGACTCAAAATATTAGCTACAGTTGTAATAAAATACAACTTTTCTTTTCTGTTAAATTGGCCTTTTGTTGCTGATCATCAAATATGGATCTCCTGAACCACCTTGGAATAAAAGTATTAGTTGCAAAACTGGAGGAGGTAAGATTCTAAGATATCAGACAGTGAGGATGTAGACAAACGAAAAAAAAGAATGTCACATATGCCTCCATACCAACACATAGTTATAGGAACTAGTACTAATTAGGTTTTATTTATTCTTTTTGGTCGAAGCTCCGCCTCCCGGGTTCACGCCATTCTCCTGCCTCAGCCTCCCCAGTAGCTGAGACTACAGGTGCCCACCACTGTGCCCGGCGAATTTTGTTGTGTTTTTAGTAGAGACAGCGTTTCGCCGTGGTCTCGATCTCCTGAACTCGTGATCTGCCCGCCTCAGCCTCCCAAAGTGCTGGGATTACAGGTGTGAGCCACCGTGCCTGGCCCAAGATATTCTATATAGAAGATTATGTCTTCTGCAAATAAGACTATTTTAATTCTTTCTTTCTAATCTGGATGACTTTCATTTATTTTTCTTGACAGCCATAGTACACATTCTTGACTTCTTCCTGATTTTTGAGGACAAACATGAATTTTCATCACTAAAGTTATGTTAGTCGGTATTTCATATAAATCCTTTGTCAGGTTGAAGAAGTTGTTTGCTGACAGTTATTCTTTTTTTAAATAATGAATTTGTGTTAGATCATGAATGTTTTTGCCAATGTTTTTCCTGTTTCTAATAAGATGATCATGTGATTTTGTATTTTTATATGCACACGCGCACACACACACACATATATATATATATTGCTTACTTCATCTTTATGTTAAACCAACTTTGCTTTCTGAGATAAATATGACTTTGTTATGATGCAAAATACAAAATACTGTTATATGTTGCTGGTTTTAGTTTACTAGCATTTTAGTCAAGAATTTTCCATGAGTGTTTGTGAGAAATATTGGTCTTTTGTTTTTCTTGGGATATCTTTATCTGGATTAAGTATCAGAATAATTCCAGCCTCACAAAATTGAGTTGGTTAATGGTCTTTGATCTTAGATTTCATAAAATTGAAATCCAATAATTTTAATTTTATACTAACACCTTCTTTTATTTGATAGAATTAATCCAGGCCTGAGCTTTCCTTTATGGAAATATTTTCAATTACTAATTTAATTTCTTCATGTTTTATAAGTAAATATACTGTCCCTGACTTACGATAATTAACCCTACAATTTTTTTGACTTTATCATTGGTTTATTGCAACATAACTCCATTCTAAGTTAAGGAGCATCTGTTTTCAGATTTTCCTCTTCTTCTTAGGTAAGTTTTAATAATTTTTGTCTTCCTAGGAATTTTTCTGTTTCATCTAACTTGTATAATTTGCGGGTATACAGTTTTTCATAATAATCCCTTACAATCTATTTTTATTTATTCAGGGTCATTAATGATATCCCCCTTTTCATTATTTTTGGTAATTTGTGTTCTCTAATTTTTTTTTAATTGTAAACTTTGAGTTCAAGTCTCTGTATTGTTTCTGATTTTTCAATTGGTTCTATCAATCATTAAAAGTAGAATTTGAAAGTTTCTAGTTTTTATCGTTGGATTGCTTATTTCTCTCTTCAATTGTGTTCATTCTTATTTTGCTTCATGCATTTTTGGCCTGTCTTATTAGATACCAATATATTTAAGTTGTTTTATCTTCCTGATGCACTGAAAATTTTATCATTATGAAATTGACTTGTTGTCTATAATAATACATCTTACCTTAAAGTCTATTTTATCTGATACTGATATAGCACTCCAGCTCTATGATTTTTGTTTATCATTTGTAGAATGTATGTTCCAATTAAAATCTATTTTTTATATTTTAATTTAAGGTAGATATCCTGTAGACAACTTACAGTTGGTTTTACCTATTTTATACGTCCAATCTAATAATATTTGACTTTTGATTGGAATAATAAGGCTATTATTACTACAACTACTACTATCATATATTATTATCATTTGAATCCAAATATTCTTTCTTCTGCTTTTGAGCTATTTTAATAACTTTGTCCTTTCAGTTTTGGCATTGTGATATGCAATTCAGGAGACTGGAGAGATCAGTAGGTAGAAAATGAGGATTTTATTGAGTGCACTCAGACCCAGAGGATTAACATCCAAAAAACTGGGCCCAGAACAAAGACAACACTTGATTTTATACACACTTCTAAAAGAGAGTTGGCTAGCCTGAAACGAGCTTACAGTGGTGCAAATTGTAGTGGCATGAAAGCAAGGATACAGAGGCAGAACAAAAGCAGTTAATCAAATTGTGACAAGTTCATAATTCAGTTTTACATATGACCCTTGCTATGCAGCCCAGATGGCTGTTATCCAGGCTTGCTCAAAAGAGCCTTTCATGGGCTTATCTCATAACCTTCACTATGGCACCTAGATGGCTGCAGCCCAGGCCTGCTCAAGCATGTCTTATAACCTTCACTGTGATGCTTAGATAAAATAGAATACTTGAAGTTACTAGTTACAGAAAACATGAATCTATAACCTTATAAAACTTGCAGAGCAAGGTACAATCACATGGATGGGGGTGGAATTCGAGGGGAAGGTTACTTTTTCTGGGAGAAAAAGTGCTGGGAGAGTCTCAAGAGCACATCCCTTTGAGTCTTAGCTTCTTAGATAATGTTATTGAGACTTCGCCCGGGCCTGGGCTTTGCCTGTTACTGCCTTTAGGATGAATCAGCCTAATATAGAAAGGTTGTTTTCCTTTTTTATAAATTTTATTTTTCTTTATTTCTTGAATTTCCTGTCTCAGTGAAACTTCAGATTCTCCCATTTTTATAATTTTTACAGCCTTATTGGGGATTTCTGTTGATTACTTGCTTTTGTATTTTTCTTTAATTATTTTAACAGTTTTTTAGTCTTTGAATGTATCTATGAAAATCGCTTATTATTATTATGTCAATATAATTAACAAATTGGGTGAATTTATCTTTGTTATTTTGTAATTTGTTTTAAAGATATCTCCTTTTTCAAATTGTGTCTGTTCCTCCGTGGCTGCACTCTTTTGAGCTAAAAAAAATATATTTTTAGCATAGAATATTCACTCATTTATTGATTTCCTAAATGTGTTTTTTGGTTATTTTTTGAATGATTGTTTTAAGGATTATATTATATGTACTAATATATACCTTAATCATCATGTACTTCATATTAATATTAACTGAACTTTGGTTGAATAATTAAACCTTTTTGCAATATACATTCATTCCTCTCTTTCCTTTTGCTAAAATTGTCATATCTTTATTCTATTGTAGAATTCAATAATACATTTTTACATTATCTTTCTATCCTTTTCCTCCTCTATTTTTTGCACTAGATAATTTTTATTGATCAGTCTTTATTTGACTGTTCTTTCTTCTGCTTTTGAGCTATTTTAACAAATTTTTCATTTCAATTTTAGTATTGTGAAACTCTATTTTATCCAATTTCTATAATTTTTACACCCTTATTAGGGATCTCTGTTAATTGCTTTTATATTTTCCTTTAATTCTTTTAACAGTCTCCTTCAGTCCTTTGAATGTATCTATAAAATGGCTTTGAAGCCTTTCTCTGCTAAAACTAATATCTGTTAATACTCAGAGAAAAATTTTATTGACTGTTTCTTTGTTTCTTTTTTTTCCCTGTGTGGGGGATACATTTTTTTTTGTTTGTTTCTTTACATGACACTTAAGATTTGTTGAGAACTAGGTGATTTAGATAATATATTGTAAAAATTCTGGACTATAATGTTTTTTCCTTGAAAGGTTTGTTGTTACTTTTGTTGGTTTCACTCTTTCCTTAGTAACTTGCTTCAGCTAAGTCTCTGCCATCTGTATTTCATATAATATGTGGACACTCAAGTATCTGCTCCATTTATATATGTGCTGTTAATTTGATTTTTAGGCCTCACTACTTGGTGGTTGTTCCTGTGTTTGACAAGTTTTGTTGTCAGCCAATGAATGGACTAATGTTGTGTTCAAATTACTTGAGCCAGTAAGGCTTCCAATCTCTACCAATAGGAGGGTGAGTAGCTGAGGAAATGCATTCAAAGTTTGAGCCATTTTTAAGTCTTCTCTATCAGACTCTTTCAAGTATCCCTATGCACAAGCTTGCAGCTCAGAATCAACCAGGAGTGTGTGAATAGATTGACTTTCTCTTGTCTCTTCTGCATATGTGACTAGTCTTAGTCAGAAATGTACTTGTTTCTCAACCACACAATATCAGACTCATAGACTTGACATGTTGACTTCCTCCATTTACCTGTATCTGAAAAGTTTTGTTGGGTGTTGGTGTCACCTACCAATCCAAATAAGTAAATTCATTTTGCCTGCTGCAGAGAATCTGTTAGTTCTCATGGTCTGATCCATTCTGGCAGAACAATCATGCTGAACTAGGTGGCGAGAAAAAATGTGATCATACCCAGGCCAAACTGCCACAGATCTCTGCTTTCTTACTCAATGTTCAGCAATTTTTAAACCATTATTACTTTTAAGATTGTAGTTTGGCTTTGGTTAATTTTTGCAGCTCAAAAATTATTTTCTTGTTTTGTCTTGTTTTGGCCTGTTTGGCTTTATCAAATTGTTTTTGGGAAAAAGATTTCATAGTCTCTGCAATTATAGCTGTAATTTCCACTACTCCAAAAAAAAGAGCAATTTTATTTTGAGCAATGAAAGAAAAGCAGGGTTACAGTATGGGTTTGAGGATCAAACAATTTACTTCCAGATTGCATGACATACTGCTTTCCTGAATTCTTTTTTCAAATGTAATACATAACTTGTTTAAAACACTAAAAGGTCAAAGCTTGCACCACATACTGTGGAGGCATAGATTCTGAGAGTATTTGCCATCAAGGAGATTTTTTTTCATCTTTGAAGCACATTAGTTTAAGAAGTTATTTATTTTTTATTGTTTTTTCTTTTTTTCCTCCATCCATCTCTTGTAAGAAAGAAGGCTCGTGCCAGGCCAAATTGCATCTTCAGCTGCTCAAAAATTTGCTCGGCTTTCCTGTCTCCCCATCAGGGGATATCATTAGCTAAAGCAGTTCAATTATCATACTCTTTACTAAAACCCTACAAGAACATAGAAGTGGGTTAAATTGGGAAATCTGATGCAAGAACAATATCTTAGAGATAATCATCTCACTTTAACAAAAGAACTCTTTATTTAAATGGGGTAGGATAAAAATTAACATGCATTTTAAACGCCTTCACCTGCATCACTAATTGCATCATAAGTTTCTTAAATCTAACCAATGCAACAATTCTGGTTGACTCAAGTGTTTCACTAAACTTTTTCTTTGAACTGGAATATTAAAATTCTAAAGTAGCAACAAAAAAGCCATTAGGTTTTGCTTGAAAATATATAAAAGGTCTAAAAAAACTATGTAGTGATAAGGCACTATATATTTACAATCCTAAATTTATAGATTTATTTTTATTTAACTATATAGTTTATTTTTGTAGCTTTCTGTGACAGATAGTGCTACTTATACCCCAATATCCATTCTTCTCACCTTTCTTTTGGTAATAACGTTACTTCAGTTTTACCACAGTTTTTACTTGTCCAGATAGAGGGAACATTTTTCTATATACTTTGCATCTAGCAGTGTTTATAAAACTGGGCTTCAAAGAGGTTAATTGGCACATCAAGTATTACACTGTTATTTTTGGTGGAGTTGAAATATAGTCATATTCTTAATTTCTAATAAAACTTTTCGTGGTAATATAATTTTCTAAAACATCCTTTGGGAATAGAATAGGTTAACTCAAAATTAGCTTCAGTTTCCTTTTTCCTTTTTTTGGATTTCTATCTTAACAGCCACTAATCATACTCATGTTTTTTTTTTCTTTCAAATACTTCTGAACAAAACAAGAACTACCCTCAGTGAAGAGAATATATTCTTATTCATTTTAAACTGAATCCTTCTTAGATAACCTAATAAGGATCTACAAATGGTCAAGGGAGACTCACTATTCAAAAGGTCATAGAATGACCATCAATTGTAAGATAAAATACTAGATATGAAGGTACAACTGCAATGTAATAGGCCATTCTAAATTTTGGTTATGCAGTAGAATCAATTGACCATTAATACCATTTTATCTACAAATGAAAGGAAGAAAATCAACAGATCATAAATCTTCTAGTCAACATCTGGATCAGAAAAGATATGGATTTTGGGATAAACGTGGCTTATTTAAAATCATCTAATGACAGGGGTTAATATGTAATGCAGATTTTTATTTGAATATAATATGACATTATTGATATTTCTGTTATTGTGAGCTTAAGTTTCTAGATCTACATTCTATCTCCATATGACTTAGAATGGAGAAAGCTATTAGCATAGAAGGAAAAATGAGGATAAATATTAGAAGGCATGGGGAAGGAAGTTTCTGGTTATATTTCTTTACTTGTGTAATGAGAATAGTTTCATATTTCATCAATTATAAGATCCACATTTTTTCATATTTTAACCTTTTTAAAATTGAGGCATATCTAACAATAGATATTATTGTACAATTTTAATTGACATCACATTTTCATTTGTAGTGTTACATAAAATGCTGTTGCATCTTTTAGTTGATGGTGTCATTGATGATAAAATTATCTCTAGTCTCACAGAGAAAATCTAGAAAAGAATTAAAAGTAGCATGCCATTTTGAGACATTTCACAAATACAAAATGTGAAATTACATCAGCCCTTTAAAAATGCACCTAGCGCCAGGGACAGAGGCTGAGGCATGTAATCCTTGGGAGGCTGAGGCAGGAGGATTACTTGAGCCCAGGAGTTTCAGGTTGCAGTGAGCCATGATTGTGCCACTAAACTCCAGCCTGGCAATAGAGTGAGATGTCGCCTCTTAAAAAAAAGAGAAAAATAATACACTTGCAAATTCCTAAAAGTGACCAGAATATTGATTTACATTTAATAGTGGCAGAACTATATTCTTGAAATGAATCTTGATTTCTATTTCAAAAGAATACATAGTCTATTGGTTGAGTGGTGTGAAAATAAAACTGAAAGATCAATGTAAAGATAAATCTTGGGGCCAGGCATGGTGGCTCACGCCTGTAATCTCAGCACTTTGGGAGGCTGAGGCGGGTGGATCACCTGAGGTAAGGAGTTCGAGACCAGCCTGGCCAACATGATGAAACCTGGTCTCTACTAAAAATACACAAACTAACCAGGCCTAGTGACATGTGCCTGTAATCCCAGCTACTCAATGGGGCTGAGACAGAAGAACTGTTTAAACCTGGGAGGTGGAGGTTGCAGTGAGCCAAGATCCTGCCACTGCACTCCCGCCTGGGAAACAGAGCCAGACTCCATCTCAAAAAAAAAAAAAAAAAAAAAAAAAAAAAAAATATATATATATATATATATATATATATATATATATATATATTTTGGAGATGCTTCAAGAAAAAAGGGGAAGTTCATTGTCCAGGAAGAAAAAGCAAGTTGCCAGTGAGGAAAAATTCAGCTAAGTTTTCTCCCACAACAGTATATGGTATCAGAAAACTGTGGGGCAATGCACATTGTCTTTTGAATAAAACAAAGTATTACAAAAAGAAAAATTACATCCTACCAAATTGTTCTTCTAGTGTAAATAAAGCCAAGAGACAGACATTTTCAAACAAGCAAAAATCCAACAATTATAGCGCCAACCCGTTTTTCTTGTAGGAAAATAATTTTGACAATGAAATCTAGCCCACAGAGGAATTAATTCAAAATAAAGGACTTAGAACTGAATATGTGTGAAAAAGACTAGTAGTATGCATTTAATCAATTTTAAATAAATTAAAAATAATGATTGCAAAAGATAATATATATGTTAAAAGCAATGACAGTTTAAAATTACAATATAATTAAGAAAATTGGAAAGAGGATGCAGTTCCTCTTCAACTTTAATAGCAGTCGATTGACACAGTTTAAGCTTGATTAAACTTGTAATAGGCAGTTAAAAATAATTATTTCAGCCTCAATATTATCATGGTTTTTAATTAAGTTATATTGAGATATTTTAGTATAGTAATACCTTTTACTATTAAAAAGCATTTCTCTAAATTCACTACTTTCATTTAATTAAAACCAGAATTTTTGTTACTTAAGTTAATTTTATAATCAATCTCAATATTTTATTTTAAAAATATAGAGAGCATGAGTCCATTTTAGTAATATTTTTTATAAATAATAATCTCGTGAATCATTTCTATATATATAAATTAAACACGTAAAAATCTATACATATAAAGTATATAAATATATATATATATAAATATATTGTGTGTGTATATATAGCTTGACATCCTGAGTGAAGTATACTTAAGGTTGCCAATCATTATTCCTCGTGGCAAAATTTGAAGGACTTTGATAACTTTTTTATGACTTTACTTTTAAAAAAAAAAAATATATATATTTATAAATCCAGAAATAACAATAAAATTAAGTAAAAGTTTATATTTATGAACAGCTTAGTTGATCAAAAATTATAGTTGTTGGATTATTTAATGTGTTTTATATATATAGTATATATATATAAATCATTGTAAATGTTTGATTTTTTTCTCACACTTTACACTGGTCTTTCTATGTGTATTTTTAAAATATCTAATTTTATTGTTCTCAAAGAAAGTTAACTTAGTTTTTGTAGAAATAGTAACTATTTTGCTCTTATGTTTTATCAGTTTAAGTACTTACAGGACATTGTTATAGCAAGTAAAAGTGCGATAAATACTTTGATAACACATTACGTGACATTTTAAATCTCTTTGAAATTTTTCAGTAAAGAAATCTGATTACTTTTAAGCCAAATATTTTATGTGTGTGTGTGTTAAAATACAAATAGGTTAAATCCCAACCTACTTACTTGAACATGGCACATATTTTTTGAGGACAGAACAGTGATTAACATCCTAAAACTTAGTTTGATAAATGATGGTTCAGTAGTATAATAGTTATGAAGTAGTAATGTTCCTTTTTTGTCATTACTCCATTTTTATTTTATTGGCATTAATCAGGAACTTTTATTTAAAGCGCTATAATATCAATTGAATTAACTTAATCTCCAAAGAAAATTAACCAGCTTCTGTATCTAGAAAGTACAAGAATGATTTTAACTTTAAGAAAACTAAATGCTATTGAGATTTTTTTTCCATGTTTTAGCTTTACTTTTTTCTGTTTGATGTCTTCATTCATTCATATTGAAGTTAGCATCTTCCATATTATTGGGCAAAAATGGCTCCTGGAACTCCAGGCTAACACACTTCCAATTTAGATATAGTAGAAAGCAAGCTTCACTTCCCCCGTATCTATTTCAATCAGGAGGAGGACTCTGATTGGTTCTCCTTAGACCTAATATGTACTCTAGATGAGACATTACCTCCATGGGAATAGAATATACTACGAGTAGTTAAATACTGTTTTATTTTGTTTCTTTTCTCCACCATTATGACCAAGGGGCTGAGTCACTGTAATTGGCAATCTCACCAAACCCACATTAGAAGGTATGGTGCAGTTCCCTAAATGAAACAGGTGTTCTGGGCAGCCATAAACAGCAGATAGCTACTAACGGGGACTCTTCCTTGCTTACCTGAGTAGATCTGTCACCCTTATTTGAAATGAGACTTTCCTCCTTCATTCTATCTCAGGTGGAGAGATACAATTTTATGAAAATCAGGAAGGAATTGTACCTTAGGTTAGGACTCAGGAAATAAAGGCAGAAATAGAAGTGGAAAATAATTTAAAGACTGTAATACAATATAGGGAATGTCAAGTAATCAGTGGCATCCACTGTTAAAATAATAAAATTTCAAGGCAAAAAATATCAATTTTGGTTACTCTACAGTTAGAGCAGTGAAAAGTTGAATAACCTTCTGAGCAATGGGTCCATATTCAAGCTTCCTCTGAAGAGGAAGAAGAATTTAGCTTCTTGAATCCTGCTTAAATGTTTTGTCCCTTAAGATGTTCAAAACCCTGGCCCATGGACGTTCCAATACTTGATTCAGATTGAATAGCAGTTATTCTTGCATAACTACCACGCACAGTGCCCAGAAAGCTTTTTGCAGCCTTCTCCTATCTTGTGTGGCTATACTCTCTTGAACTTTGTTGGTTATGACAAAGTTGCATCTGAAGTTATCCGTTATCAATCTTGGGTACCAAAATGTGGACAGTTGTCTTGCACTCTTCAGTAAACTATCCTTAAAGAGCAATTGAAAATGCTTTTAAGAAAACAATCCAGCGTTAGTTTATCAAGTGGAAAGTTAATTTTGCATGGTGGTTAACTTCATGTCCATTGAAATTACATAACCCTCAGTACATCATGGTGCTGCCAATTACAAATTGTGTGACCTCAAGCAAGTTACCTAACATCTCTCAGACATAATTTTTATTTCTACAATATTGACTTATGAAAGTATTGAGCTCATAGGGTTATTGTAAAGATTACATTATATAATGTTTGCAAAGCACTTAGCATAGTGGCATGCATATAGGGCTTAGTCAGCAAAAGTCACACAAATAACCATTTGTCACTGTGCAAAGTTTGCAAAGGAGATTTACAGAACACCATGGGAGCACACAGCAGAAACTCTGACCCTGATCGGGAGAGCCAGGAATGTTTCCAGTACCCTGTGAAAGTTCAACCTCAGCATTTACACAAATTAGCTAGTATGAGACTCCTGTGAATTTCTTATGATAGGGAGGAAAAATGATTTCAATAATGACATTAGAAATCTGTTTTCTGTTCTTGATAGAAATAATCTTAAAATATCATGCAAATATGTAGAAATCAATTGCCTGAGAGTAGCTCTTTAGATAAGGCATATCTTGCCTATATTGTAATTTATAATAACTTTAAGTTTAAAAAGCATCCCCCTCACCTTTAAAAAATTAACAGGAAGTGAAATAATTTGAAGGAGAACTAAAATGTACCCTGAAAAGAGGGATCTACTACCCAAAACAAAAGGATAACCAAAACAAACATATAAAAAAAAAACTCCACATACAAACACAGAGCTGAAGATATTTAAAATTTTAGTTGGAAATCCTGATAGCTTTGCAGGTTTCAGTAAGTTTTATTGTTCTGACCCAGGCACCTGCATTTGATATACTTCCTGAATCATGTATTTTATAAAGCCCAGGCCCTTCTACCAAATGACATATCAAGAAACACCGATAGTTGTATCGATAACAACAAATGGATCCTACTCAGCCCAGGACTAAGCTGGCTGCTTCTCTCTCTTGCTGGAGAAATACCTCTGCTCTGTCTGGGCCACAGAGGGTAGTGGGGATTTGGGAAATTGTGCAGTTACTTTCCTGGAGGAGTAGTAATGACCACTAGAATGGAAATCAGAATCACCGCAGATCCACCCAGGCATTCTAGCTCTAGAAGGATTGTCTCAAGTGCCATGTTTTAGAAAGTATAAACTCACTCTCTCAAACTGATAAAACATTGATTCAGGAAGAAAGGCAGTTTAGGGAAGGCAATGAAATGAACAAAGGAGAAATTTGGTGCTTAAACACTTTGAACATTTTACGGGTTCTCTCCCCCAAAGCAACACATGATCGCAAGGCAAAAAGAAATACTCCAACACAATCTAACACACTCTCCCGAAGCTATATTGTATTTTGTCTGTTTAGTCTTCAAAACTTTGATTAACTGCAGTTTGAGCGTACCTTCCTCCACGAACATGTGTTGGGGGAAAGCAAGGACCATAGACATTATTACTCAGAGCACCCACCTATAAGGAGGTTGGAAAGCAACTGTGGGGCATGAGATGGTATGCACCTCTTGCAATACCCTTCTCTCCCCACACAGCTTGGTAGGTATAGCAACTGAATATATATATATATATATATACACACACATATGTATATATATATATACACATATATATGTGTATATATATATACACACACATATATTTGAAGGTTTTCAGAAGTAGGTTGAAGAATCTATCTTATAAATATGTTGAAAGAGCAAAAATATCGTCAGGAGTAAATTTCTATCCACCCTCCACCCACCCTGGATGAGACAATTGCTGTAATTGCTTCTCTTGCAAAATGTTTTCTAAGTGCCAAGTTATGTAGGGAATGAAGCGTTACCTAGCAATATGGCCAACTTTCAATTATCCATGGCAATGGGACATAGGGATGGGAGAGATAATTAAAATTCACAGACTGTTCCCAAACTTGAGCTTAATCATTTACATCACTCTCTTCTTGCACTAAGCCCACTGGAAGCACTACCTAGAGATGATATCTCCTGATTCAGGTTTCATATTTTTTAGTTCCTTGTCCTCCAAACAGGGAAAATAATTGAAGGCCTTGTTTCATCTTTCTATCTTCAGGGCCTAATAAAAGATTTGGATATAGGCGATGTTCAAAAAATATTGAACTGTTAGAGTGGAGTGAGATGGTCACAGTATTGTGGAGAGAAAGGATCTTCATAATTCCTGAGCTGGGAGCTGGACATGATTCTAAGTTATTTTTGTAGGTGACACCTGACAGAGTTACATAGCATTTGAAGAACACAAGCTTTCCTTTTAAAGTCACTATACTTAACTCATTCATTTGTTCATTGACAATTGTTTATTAAATTTCTACTATGTGTCAGTCTTTGTTTTGAGTATTGGGCATTTAGCAGAGAACAAAATAGATAAGGTTTATCCCTTCATGGAACTTATATTCTAATTGGAGAAGTGAGACCCAAAGCAAATTTTTTAGAAAAATAAAAACATATAGTGGAATGTGCTAAGTGCTGTAAGAAATATACAGGGATATACAGCATAATATACAGGGAGATACAGCATAATTTGGGTTGGGAGAGGCACTAAAAAAAGATGAACAATAATTCCTCTTTGCTGAAAGATGAGATAGATTCTGATATGCAAAGTTTCAGAGAAAAAGCATTCCAAAGAACCTAAGCTGAGAAAGAATTTTTGAGTCTAGGGAACAAGTACAGTTGTTCCTCAGTCTCCAAGGGGGATTGCTTCCAGGACACCTCCTTACTCCCCAGTCCCTCCCATGAAAAGCAAAAATCTGTGATGCTCAAATCCCTTGTATAAAACGGCACATTTGTGTATAACCTACACACATCCTCTCCTATACTTTAAATCATCTCTAGATTACTTATAATACCTAATATAATGCAAATACTATGTAAATAGTTGTTATACTGTATTCCTTTTATTTGTATTATTTTTATTGTTGTATTGTTATTTTTATTGCGGTTTTTGGGGAGAGAATATTTTCCATTCATGATTAGTTAAATCCATGGATGCAAAATGGGCAAGTATGGAGGGTAGACTGTATAGGATAGTTTAGCTGGGACATGGTGGGTAAGTTCCTGAGATCTCCTTTTAAAGAATCTTAACATCACTTCCTCAAACTGGGGCCAGCTGTGAAGCAAGAGTTATCTTTTTGTCCATCAGTCTTAAAAGGGGAGCTTTAAAAAAAGTAATTTCTGGGTGTAAACATGTGATCTTCACCATATTTAGGTCACAGACCTATGTGAGACTCTAAATTGATGGCTTCTTTGTCACTATGCATATGTACGTGTAATACACACAGTGTAGTACACACACACACAGACACACAAGCAAACATATGCAGGATCCACTCTATACTTACACTGTTTTTAAAGTGGTGCTTCACTTTAATAACAACACACAATTTTGTCATTGGAAGCCTAGAACACTTAATTCATTAAAGATAATGGTCAGTTATTGATTACTAATTGTTTTAGTTACTAGGGATATGCAAAGGCAAAGACCTGCTTCACATACAGCTCAGTCTTTTACATAATTCTAATTAGCTTTACAAATGCCTGTGACCATGTTTTCTTTGGTCATTCATTTGGACCAAACATTCTTGTGATTGCCCACTGCCAGAAGCCTGAATGATGCTAATAAAGAGACAAATCTTTGTTATCTAAATAATATATTCTAACTTTGAGGAATTACTGTGTTATGTTGTTTTTTGATTGCCAAGAAAGTGTTGCCATCTTTATATTCGAAATTCAAATTAATACAACTGAGTTATATCCTCTCCTTGAGTTGGCTAAAGTAAATAATGTCTGCTTTTTACCCCTCTATGCAGAAACAGGTCCAGCATAAATTCTTATGTCTGGCCACCAAACAGTGAATTCCAAATAGTTTTCATTAAATTCCATTTTTATTGTGCTTTTCCCTATACCCTATCTGTATGAAAATGGTGAAGATTTGTAGAGATAAAACTAGTTAGGACTTGAATATTTATGTTTAATACTGGAAATAACTGACTTTGAGGCTCATGTACTATAGATTACAGGCTCATGTTTTCAAACTGATTGCTACTTCTCAAGCTGAATTTATCTCATCATAAAAATTCTATAAGATAAAATATTAACAGCAGTTTTCTGGAAGTTTTTTTCTGGCTCTCAGCCTATGCAACAAAAAAAAGGCATGTTCTTAACATGGTATTTGCTCCTGTCTTCTCCAAGTTGAATAATTGACCCACCACTATTAGGTTTGGTATTGAGGTTTTGGGCATTTTTCCAAAAAAAATGTCACTCGATAAAGAAATAATGAACATATGAGGAGGTCTTCAAAAAGTTTATAGAAAATGTACATTATGAAAAATGATGTGAGGATTTAAAAATGTTTTGCACCAAAATAAACTTGTACTAATATGTTACAACATATTTGAACAAGATCTAGTTTGAGGCACTAAGAAGGATAAAACATCAGTTTGTAAAAAAGCCTCTATTAAGTAACATGAATTCTACTAAAATTGAAGCAAGAACAAACATAAAATTTATAGTGAAACTCGGGTGGAAGAATAGTCTAATTGTTGATGCTTTATAAAAAGTTTTTAAAAATCAGTAGTTTATAAATTGCTAACTCATTTTAAGAAGAAGTGAGACAATGTTGAAGATAAAGCCCACAGTGTCAGGTCATCCATATCAAATTGCAAGGAAAAAAATAATCTTGTCTATGCCTTAACTGAACAAGACTGATGATTAACAGCAGAAACAACATCTAACACCATGGACATTTCAACTGGTTTAACTTACACAATTCTGATTGAAAAATTAAAGATTCCAAAACTGTTGTGCCCAGATCAGTTGTAGACAAGAGCAGAGTTTTCAATGCAAATTATAATTAAGTGGGATCAAGATCCTGAAACATATCTTCAAAGAACTGTAATAGAAGATGAAACATGGCTCCACCAGTATCATCCTGAAGACAAAACACAGTCATAGCAATGACTACCAAAAGATGGAAATGAAGACTAGTTGAGAGCAAAGTCCATGGCAGTAGTTTTTTTGGGATACTCAAGGCATTTTTGTTGGATGACTTTCTGGAGGGCCAAAGAATAATAACATCTGCTTATTATGAGAATGTTTTGAGAAAGTCAGCCAAAACTTTAGCAGAAAAATGCCCGGGAAACCTTCACCAGAGAGTTCTTCTCCACCATGCTAATGCTCCTGCTCATTCCTCTCATCAAACGGTGGCAATTTTGCAAGAGTTTTGATCAGAAATCATTAGGTATCCACCTTATAGTCCTGATTTAGCTCTTTCTGTCTTCTTTTTGTTTCCTAATGTTAAGAAATCTATAAAAGACATCTATTTTTTCTTCAGCTAGTAATATAACAAAGACTGCATTGACATGGTTAAACTCCCAGCATCCTCAGTTATTTAGAAATAGACTAAATGGCTGGTATCATTGATTGCTTACACTGTTAGTGGGAGTGTGAATTAGTTCAACCACTGTGAAAGACAGTGTGGCAATTCCTAAAGGATCTAGAACCAGAAATACCATTTGGCCCAGCAATCCCATTACTGTGTATATACCCAAAAGATTATAAATCATTCTACTATAAAGACACATGCACATGTATGTTTATTGCAGCACTGACTAGGAACCAACCCAAATGCCCATCAGTGATAGACTGGTTAAAGAAAACGTGGCATATATATGGAATACTATGCAGCCATAAAAAAGGATGAGTTCATGCCCTTTGCATGGACATGGATGAGGCTGGAAAACATCATTCTCAGCAAACTAACACAAGAACAGAAAACCAAACACCACATGTTCCCACTCATAAGTGGGAGTTGAACAATGCAAACACATGGACATCGGGAAGGGAACATCACATACTGGGGCCTGTCAGCGGGTGGGGGCTAGGGGAGGGATAGCATTAGGAGAAATACCTAATGAAGATGACAGGTTGATGGGTGCAGCAAACCACCATGACACATGTATACCTATGTAACAAACCTGCACATTCTGCACATGTATCCCAGAACTTAAAGTATAATAAATTTTTAAAAATGCCTTGAACTTGATGAAGGTTGTGTTGACAAATAGTATACACTTTTATTTTTGTCTTTTAATTCTATTTTCCATGAACTTTTTGAAATCCTCTTATATAATAAATTGCATGTATATAAAGTGAACAATGTGATAAATTTTGGCATATGTGTACAATTGTAGAACCATTAAAACAATCAAGAAAATATATATATTCATCACTCCCAAAAGTTTCTTCATGCTCCCTTGTAATTCCTTCCTCCTGTCACCTCTTCTATCAGGTAACCCCTAATCTATGTGCCTCCTGCCATTACAAATCAGTTCACATTTTCTATAATATATAAATAGAATCATATAGTAAATATTTGTATAGGTTTTTTTTCACTCAGTGTTAATTATTTTGAGATGTTTCAATGTTGTTTAATGTATCCATAGAGTACCCATTTTTAGTGGGATATATGCCACATACCATAAAATTTACTCTTTTAAAGTGTACAATTCAGTAGTTTTAATTATATTTTCATGATTGTGCAGTCATCACCACTAATTCCAGAACAATTCCATATGTCTAGAAAAAAATATCATGCACATTAGCAGTCATTCTCATTTGCTCCTTCCCCAGACCCTGGCAAACACTAATCTACTTTCTTTCTCTATGCATTTGTCCATTCTGGACATTTCATATAAATGAATCATTCAATATGTGGCCTTTTACCTGTGGTTTCTTTTGCTGAGCATAATGTTTTCAAGGTTAATCATATTGTGGTATATATTAGTGTACCATTCCTTTCATGGTTGAATAATGTTCTATGTTTTATATATATTACATTTTCCTTTTCTGTTCATTAGTTGATAGACACTAGGGTTGTTTTCACTTTAGGACTATTATGAACAATGTTGCTGTGAAAATTTCTGTACAATTTTGCATGAGAATACATTTTTCAGTTTTCTTGGCTATACACATAGAGGTAGAATTGCTAGGTCATATGGCAGCACTATGTTTAACTTTTTGAATTGTTAGACTGTTTTCCAAATTGGCTGTACCATTTCATGTTCCCACCAGCAATGCATAAGAATTCTGATTTGTCCACATCCTTGCCAAAACATGTCATTGTCTTTTTTATTATGGCCATCCTAATGAAGAGGTATCTCATTTTGATTTTTACTTGCATTTTCTGCTGTCTTATCATATTTAGCATTTTTTTCATTTGCTTACTGAAGATTTTATGTATGTTTGGGGAAAATATGTATTCAAATCTTTTGATCATTTTTAAATTGGGTTGCTTGTCTTTTTATTGTAGACCTGTAAGAATGTTTTATGTATTCTAGATACCAGACTCTAATCAAATACACAATTTAATAGTATTTGCTCCCATTTAATAAATTGTCCTTTCTCTTCTTTTATAGAATTCTTTGAAGCAAAAAGTTTTAAATTACATAAAGTCCAATTTATCTATGTTTTGGTTTCTTGTGATTTAGGTTTTAGACCTAAGAAATCGCCTAATTATTGGTCGCAAATATTTATATCTGTTTTCTTCTAAGGGTTTTAAAGTTTTGTTACTTACATTTAGATCTTTTATCTATTTTGAGTTAATCATGGATATGGTGGGAGGTAGGGGTCCAACTTAATTCATTTGCACGTGGATATCCAACTGTCTCAGCATCATTTGTTAAAAAGGAGATTCTTTTTCCATTAAATTGTTTTGATAACCTTGTCAAAAATTGACTATAAATGCACGAGATTATTTCTGAAATCTCAATTCTGTTCCTTTGATCTATGTGCCTATTCTTATTCCAGTACCATAGTTTTGATGATTGCATCTCTGTAGTAAATTTTGTAATTGTGAAGTCTGAACTCTCAAACTTTGTTCTTCTTTTTAAAGACTATTTTGGATATTTGGGGAGCTCATTTACTTTTATTGCTAGGTCATTTTCCACTGTATGGATAACCCACAATTTCTTTACTTATTCACTGTTGATGGACATTTGAGTTGTTTCCAATTT
This sequence comes from Homo sapiens, assembly GCF_000001405.40. NCBI lineage: Eukaryota > Metazoa > Chordata > Mammalia > Primates > Hominidae > Homo > Homo sapiens. The sequence goes on from NC_000011.10 coordinate 37,410,629, forward strand.
AGGCTATTTCAAATTTCTATAAATGTTTGAATGTATGTCTTCGTATAGAAATACATTTTGATTTTTCTTGGGTAAATAACAAGCAGTTCAATGGTGTTGTGTTTTTAAACAGCAGATTGTCTAGCCATTGTATATCAATCCCCAGGTCCCTGTCACATGGTTATGCAGTACACACATGGAGTTATGATCAAGAGGTTGGTACAATAAAAAAAACACAAATGAAACAGCATGAAAGGCTGAAACAAATGAATAGCTTTTAGTGCATTCAAAAACATTCTGCCTTGAGGAAATAAAGCAAGTCCTTGGCTAAGAGTTAGAAAAGAGAAACCTATGAGAAGACATTTTAGGTCTCTAATTTTATAATTTCATTTCATTATAAAATTTCATCTTTTGATGTTTTAGTGTAACATGCTCCAAAAGCAGACATTTAAAATTTTAGGATTATCCATGGACCCTTGACTTGCCCCTGGATCATAGGTTAAGCATCTTGGACTTAATCTGGGCAAACAGAGATGCTTTTGCCATTGAAATCAATCAGCTCTTCAGACCTAATGAGTTGCATTCCATTTACACATCCCACAAATCAAAATAAAATGGTTATGGAGAAACAGTAATTTGTTTCCAGTAGTGTTTTTGGGGGGAGAACATGATGGGATCTCAGGAAGCAGCAGCATCTGAATTTTTATGCACGTTCTCTTGAAATATTTTGCTTTTGAATTTTGAAATGCAGAATGATAATTAAGTTCATGGGAGCTGGCTAAGATTGGGCAGCCAATTCGCAGGTGTGGGAAACATCTGAATCAACCCTTTCCAGGGGTGAGGGTGCCAAGGTGAACACCTGGCTGTGCATAGACTGCTTTGTCTGCCAAAATCATTGCGAAATGATGGGCAGAATAAACAGCAGTTCAAAGACTAAGCACAACTAAATACTGAATGAAAAAAGGATAAGATAGTCCTGACAGTCCTGAGGATAAGAAATCTAAGATTGGGAGCTAAAGGTTAGAGAAAATGCTATTTAAATGCGGCAAACAAACTAACTTTCTCAATTGTTGTTGCTGAAATTTTTTCATCATTGTTGGGACTGAAGACTCACTGATATTTTATTAAAACAACCTTCCTAATCCTGTGATAACACAATGCTTTGTGTATAATATTAGGGTGGGAAGAAATTTTAGAGGTCATTTAGACTAAATGGATTGTCTGATATTTTAATTTCCTATAGCTGGGAACTAAACTAAGTATCAGTATACAGATGTAAATGTACAGTGCTCATCTCCAGAAAACCCATGGTGCTAATAAACCATTCAATCAGAGAAAATTTCTAATAAATTATAATAAATGTGTTACAAGCATGTACACATACTGTTATAAAGGGCAAATACAGGAAATGATGTTAAATCAGAGAGGAGAGAATGCCAAGCAGGGCTTTGCAGAGGAGAATCTCAAGAGTTAATGACAGAGAATTTCAGGTAGAAATGAAGGGAGGCATAGAACTGCATGATATGTTCAGGCAATTGTATGGAGATAATTCATTTACAGGCATATCACCTAATATAGTTTGCTCTGTGTCCCCACCCAAATCTCATCTCAAATTGTAATCCCCACATGTTGAAGGAGGGAGCTGGTGGGGGTGATTGGATCATAGGGGCAGTTTGCCCCATGCTCTTCTTGTGATAGTGAGTTCTCATGAGATCTGGTTGTTTGATTAGTGTCTAGTGCTTCCCCCTCGTCTCTCTCTCTCTCCGGCCGCCATGTAAGATGTGCCTTGCTTCCCCTTCATCTTCTGCCATGATTTTAAGTTTCTTGAGGCCTCTTCAGCCATGCAGAACTGTGAATACATTAAATCTCTTTTCTTTATAAATTACCCAGACTCAGGTAGTAACTTTACACCAGTGGGAAAATGGACTAATACATCAACTTTACACAGATTTTTTTTAAGTCCTGCCTGTTTTCTGACAGTCCTATGTGACCTCAATAGGGCCAGGTTTCTAGAATTTCTGTTGTGCTGCCATATTTAGATCACTTCTTTATATTATAGTACTCAGTGTGTAAAATTACATTTAGTGTCTGTAGTAGATGATATTATTTAAAATCCTTCTTTTCCTCTCTGTCTTTGCAATGGTTCACTGTAAGTAGAATATACTTTTTCATCCTACTTGTGGTGCACTTGACCTTGCTGACTTGCACTTATGGGAATTTGAAATTATAAGGTGATAGTTCTGAGCCATGTCCCTAAGAAGAAGGTTGGCACTTGTCAGGAGATAGAGACCATCCTAGCTAACACGGTGAAACCCGTCTCTACTAAAATACAAAAACAAAATTAGCCAGGCATGGTGGCAGGTGCTGGTAGTCCCAGCTACTCAGGAGGCTGAGGCAGGAGAATGGCATGAACCCAGGAGGCAGAGCTTGCAGTGAGCTGAGATCGCGCCACTGCACTCCAGCCTGGGCGACAGAGGGAGACTCTGTCTCAAAAAAAAAAAAAAAAAAAAAAAAAAAAAAAAAAGAGGAAGAAGAAGGAGAAAGAAGAAAGAAGAAGAAGACGATCGGCACTTATCTTTCTTTTTCAAGCTCCTGTGAACTATCAAGGGATCAAAACTGCCAACCCATGAATGTGAGATAAAATGTTTATTGTGATAAGCCACTGAGACTTTCTTGTATAGCATTATAACCAAAAAAATTAATACAGCTATCATAGTTATTGTTAAAAACTACTAAAAACTTCTTATTGGCTTCAAACGAAGAGTATGGATTTGAGTTTTTAAAGCAACTTAAAATTATAAAACTTTAAATGAACTTATAGAATTAAAAATCAAATAATATGAAAGCATTTAAAAGGTGAAATAAATGCTACAAAATAAGATTACATTTATAGTCTTGTGGAATAGACTTGTTCAATGAAAATATGAGGGGAATGTCAAATATTAAAAAATTTTATATATGATAAATAAAATTAGTAGAATTATGGACCCAAATTATGTTGAGCTTTGTAATATGAGACAGAAGTCTAATTCAAAATACTTTCTTGGGCTATACTATATAAAATTTGGACTCCTTTTTGCTCCCCAAAGCACCCATATTCTTACCCTATTTTATTCTTTTTAGCACATACCATTACCTAATCCACTTTAAATAGTTACTTTTATATCTTCTTCATTTATCTCTCCACCAGAATGTGAAATCTTTAAGGTCACGAATTGGTCTTTCTTATTTGTAGCTATATTTCCATTATCTGAAAGAGTAGCTTAACAAATCATAGGCACCAAATAAATATTTATTAAAAAATAAATGTATAGATGGCTTGAGCAAAAAGGATATCACTATAGCTTAGCTAGAAGGATACTGAGTGCAGTTAATGAAATAATTATATAAATAATTATGAACAAAATTAATTCCTCAGTAGCAGGAATTAAGCAATTATTAGTGTCTTTAAAACAATACCTCTTTGTCCATTTATTAACAGTGCATATCTCTGCTGAACTGTTTTTTTTCTTGTGTATGTGTGTGTGTGTAAGTATGTTGGTCTCCTGTCTTTCTCCATGCAATTGAAAAGGCGGCTACTGGTAGCTTCAGAAATATATCATCTCCTAGCAATTTCAGAGGGAAAAGAATGCTTCTTCCTCCTGAATAACTCAAATCAGTTTCTCAGAAAGATTGTGATTGGGTCGTTTGCTTGCTTTATAAGAATTACTAAAGTAACGTGGACAGGTAATATAATTAGAAGGCTTAGAACTCATTCTCATTCATGAAGTTGAAGAGGGAGGGGAATAGGTGTACTTCATAGTATCAAGATTGAATCTGCATCCAAATGAAAAGAGAGAGGTAGTTTTAAAAGTTAAAGGACACTAGACAAAAAATATGCATACTATGGGTCAAACTTCACTTCTAAACAAGGCAAAATTCTGCATCCTATGGTTAGCTAAGGTTAACCAATAAATACATTGTTTTCTCACAGAACTTAAATGTGGCCTTAGAATTTATCTCATTGAACTTTGATATGGCCGTAGAATCCATTTTTGTGTAGACTTCCGTACATCTCTACAAATTCCTTACTTTTGGACCTTCATCTGAATTTGTTTTGCATTACTTGCTGAATAATTACAGAATACCAAAGGGATCTACAATAATGAATGCAAATAAATAATGTGTCATAGATCTCTCACAGAAGAGGCAATCTTCCCCTAGTCCAAGGAATGGGAATAGGGACAATCTATTAGGTGGGATGTCATCATTAATAGCAGCCACAAGGAGTCCTCCTAAGGATAATATGTGAAAAATGAGTAAGTAGCATACAAGAGGTCACTCAATAGTCAAAGCTTGAAAGAATACCTACCCAAACAATCTAGAGATGTAAGAGTAGCCACAATAAAATTTAGGATGAAATCAGGAAAGCCATGTATCCACACAGAGAAAAGCAATGAGAAGTTTACAAGTCGGAATCCTAGACAAAGATCTAAAAATGCTGAGTTCGTGCTTTCAAAAAACAGTCCAGTCCAAGTGTCCACATGTAGTGTGTGCTGATGGAGCTAGCTCTTCCGCAACCTGGCTCACTACTGGGAGCCCAGGAATCCCTGGGACAAGCAGATAAGCCAGGACTGAAGTTTTAAAGTATCAACTACTGCAAATCAAAGTAGGCAGCCTCATGAATAGACTTCATGATATTAGTTGAGCCATCGCTGCCTTCATTATCATTTTTATGCCTTTGGGGTCACTGTGTGGTTTGGTCCAAGCTGTTCTCAAAACTTGCAGTGCAACAGATCTGTGTCTACTTTAGCAGGCAAAGACTCTCATAAGATTTGATAGTATATATTATTTAATTACTTAATATCCACTAATTAGACTCTTTTCCTTCTAAAGAAGAATGTCCCCCAAGCAACACATTGTAACTTTCTAAGACAGTTGGTGCCAGATGAGATTAAAAATGCAGTTACTGTACTAGATAACATTCACCTTATGCTTTAGTAAACATTCCTTTAATAACTATTTGTTGGTTTCTCAAAAGCAATATCCCATATTAAACAGACAATTCAAATGTGACAATTCCTCTGTAACAAAGAAGCTGAATTTCTGTAATAAGTGGGAAACATTTCATTCCAGTCTTCTCAGGTACCAGAATCACGGACTTCAGTAGAAGAGGGAATAGGGAGAGAGGTGGGAGGCTGATCTGTTCTTGGCCTAGCACGGTGCTGTAATTCCTCACCCTTCTGGTTTCCACAGATCGTTGCAGAGTAATGCTTGAAGTGTGTGACTTTGGACTTCTGCTGCTTTAAAAGGCCCGGTGGCTTTCCAACCAAATCCTTAGACTCAATCTATTGGTGTGTTTGTCTAATAAATTCTTTTCGTAGTAAATTTAAAAAAAAAGCAATTAAAAGTTTAATGTCGAGTAGATGCTCATGAATCGCTACAGCACATTCTGCCTTGTCTATTAGAAGCTTCAAATTAGGGCCTGTTTCCTGAGGCAACTGAATCAGATGTACACTTCCCTTCTATGCACTGGCTTGAGTTAGTATTTAGGTAACCATCTCCATCATATAATCTTAGCTCAAATAATTTATTTTTACTTTTTCTTCTTAGAGAGAGGGTCTCTGTCACCTGTCCTGGAGTGCAGTGGCACAATCATAGCTCACTTCATCCTGGAACTACCAGCCTCAAGCCTCGCCTCCCAAAGCACTGTTATTATAGGTATGAACCACCGCACCCAGATCAAATAATGTTTTTCTGCTGTTTAACTCCCCACACTTCCAATAAATATATCATTTGCTTGATGGATTTGACTTTGTTGACTATATTTTTGGATGTCAGCTAAGGTCGCATCCAATGGCCCACCCTAGTACTGTCATTGCCATTTGATACCTATTAGTTGCTTGATCAATTTCCTTGGGGACTCTTTTCACACTCTGTTTCAGAGTACTCAAAGAAGAAATACATCTCAGATACAGGTTCCTTTCAATCGGATTCACTAGTCATCTTAAGCAACGTTCAGGAAACTTTAATTTAAACATATTAATTATCTACAAGGGCAATTTTAATTCAATAGTATTTAAATATTATTTCCTTCCCTTGTAAAATTTAGGCCTTATTATTTTTTAGGATGTAAACAAAAGTGAATGTAATCTGGAAAATAATAATTGTTTTAAAGAGCTTTGAGGTTATATTGTGACCTACATTACCATAAATGTTTCATCTATTGAAATCAACTGAACTGTTTCAAAACATCAGTTTGGAGGGCTCTTGTTAGCCATATTCCTTTACATTTCATGTTAAACACCACATAATTGATGCTAGCAATATATCTCTAAAACATTTGCATGCATCAGTTAGTTAACAAACTTTTATGGGAAGAGTCATTAATTTCTTCAAAATAGATGCTTTTTATAGTTATATTCCACTTAGGAGGTAGAACTTTCTCCTGGTTTGCAGGTTTTATCTTTCATTAGTATGTCTTTTTTTTTCCCCAAAAAATCCAGGGTAGCTTCCCTCCCTGAAGCACAGGAAATCTGGGTTAGACAGTTTTCTCTGGCACTGAGTATAGACCCTGTAAAAATTGAGTTACCTTTAGCTCAAATCTTTGCCCTGAGGATTGTAACTAATCTAAATTCTGTTGTCATGTCAGAGAAGGATCTGCCTGGCCAGTTGTGGGCTGCAGATGATTTTGTCAACTGTTCTTAATACCAATTAACTGTGTAAGGCTAGTAGGCCTGTTGCCTTGCCAGTGCACCGAGCTTGCTTGTATATACCCTAACCTTACATTAATGATATGGTTGGATTGCAGTCAGTAGTTGCTTCAAAAGTAAACTTTCTAGAGAAATTTGGCAGACATATTTGCAATTATTCCTTCATGGTTTGCACCCAAAATCTAATATCTGGGCTGTAGAGAGCGTGCTTAGCCAGTTCCATTTTTGCTATTTTTTTCTTTTTATTTAGCTTGTCAGAAAAAGTATTCTATGAATATCAAATAATTCAAGTTTTTTGTTCTAAGTACTTTTTTTTTCACTCATCCTTCTTCTATCTCATAGTGCTAGCTGATAAGAATATGTTACAAAGAAGTGAGCCCAATGGGGCAAAATATGAGCTTGATTACAGGTACATTGGATCAGAGAACATGAGAAAAGTTTGTACCTCCCTCCTCCAATCCAGATCTTGGAGGGTATAACTTTATTGATTCACTCAATACATTGCAAGGAGGGATTCTGAAAGAGGTAGAGTATAGATTGGTCTGGGTTTATAGAGACAGGCCACGTATAACATGTCTGGAGACTAGTTGAGAGAGAACTCCGAATGCCCATGTACAGACAGGTCTGGGAGGACCAGAGACAAGGCTGGATTCACATTAAAAGTGACCCTAACAGGATTCAACCCACTGGGGACATGGAGCTATTGGATTAGTCACTCTTTTTTAATCGAGGAAAGCAAGACAGGAGAACAAATAAAAGAACTGAGATTTAGACTCCAGTGTTATCACACCATATGAGATGAGAAAGAATATTTTGAATTTTTCAGGGCAGTTTTTTTGCTCAGTTGAATATTTCTGTATTTACTTAAAGATAAAACTTGGTATAAAACTTAATATAGCCAAAAGTAAAGATGTTTTTGAGATTACATGACTTAAAATGTTGGTAGGCCTCTCTGTGTAAAAGTAAAATCTATAATATTGGGTACTGATATTTGGGATATTTGTATTGATTCTTGAGCTGAAAGGGTAACACTCTTGCATTATTGGTATTCTTAAGTAACATAAAACATATGTATATGCAACAACTTTTTAGAATACTTTGCCTAAATTAGTATTCCTGGCTGTTTATTTGGAATAAATCCCAGAAAACATATTATCACATTGGAGTATATACATTTTTTGTCACTATCATCACTAAAATAAGAAGAAAATTAAGAGGTTTCATCCCCGTATATCACATTCAATTGTGCTCCAATAATTTTCATCTCTGATAGAAACGAATTTTGGGTTTGAGATGCAGCTCAAGAACAAAAAAAGGCAGTAGTTGTTTATTTTTCTATTTAGTGGGGATTACATATTTGAGAATATCACATAAGCCATGGAAGCGTCTTCTAAAAAAAAATACATTATACACATGTAGAAAATTTAGTATACATTGCATAGTGGTATATGGATAATCCAGTAACTTACTCATACTTATCAGTTTTAGGGTCCATAATTGGAGAGAAATCAGCACTATATGAGTTTTGTGATCAGTTATTAACGTAAAGAAATAACCACTTGGTATTGAGGAAAAATTAACCATTTTATTAAGTTTTTTAACCATTTAAGAGGCAGGGCTTGTTTGTCTCTGCCTTCTTCTATGTAACATATTTTGAAAAACAGAAAGAGTTATGACCTGGAACAAAGGTGTTACAATAACCATGTAGACTTAAAATTGGGATAGTGACATCCAAAAAGTTCAAAGTTAGTGTTTTGTATAGTTTGATATCCTATACCTCACTGTAGGCAGTTAGGATTATTTCAGTAATGAAGTACGGTGGTTACGCTGTGAAGATTTGCTTGAAGACTTGCTTGTTTCTTATGTGACTTTCACCGATAATACAATGATCATATAATATTTATAAAGCTACATTACATATATGTATCATATAACACCCACAAATACAGCCATGGACTGCATACCAGTATTTCAGTCAACAATGGACTGCGTTTATGGTGGTGGCCCGATAAAATTATAATATCATATTTTTATTATACCTTTTCTATGTTTGGATGTGTTTAGATACTCAAGTTCTTACCATTGTGTTACAATTGCCTACAGTATTCAGTACAGTAAAATGCTGTGCAGGTTTGTAACCTAGAAGCACTAGGCTATACTATATACCCTGGGAGTGTAATAGGCTCTATCATCCAGGTTTGTGTAAGTATACCCTATGATGTTTGTGCAATGACTAAACAAGGTGCATTTCTCGGAATATATCTTCACCATCAGGTGATACATGACTGCATATGGATGTTATTCTGCAAATTCCATGTATTTAAAGTCTTCCTACCTAGCTTTCTAAAACAGGTGGAAAACACCTAGTCCAAGAGATTGAAGAAGTTTTAAATATTCTGCTCTGTGGCATCAGGGAAGTACTACATTGGCATTTATTCTCAACCACATATCAAAACATATACAGCATGCCAATTTCATGTGTTGCCTCTCCTTTACTTACTTTACTCAGCTTGAAGCCTCTTTTATTTATCCTTCCCAAACGAAACCTTCCTAGTCTTAATTCTGTGGAAATGGCAGCAACAAGGTATGATTGTAATGAGGCTGAGCCATATGTGGGAGCCTTTCCTCTTACAGCCTTTCACACACCACCAATGGACTCTCCTGCTGTGTATGGTTGAGGGAAAAGTCAGTTCAGGAAGTTGCACCAAAGCTGAACTCATGCTTGCAGAAGTGAAGGCAATCGCCTTATTTATTTGTATCTTTAATATTTGCTTATGGTGGGAAACTTGAGATGTCACATTGTCCTTTGCTCTGATAAAGTTAGTAATGATCATATTTGTTTTATCCTTTCATTTGTTGAACTAAGTTGGTCCCAAAATCAAAGCAATCTTGTTTTGAGGAATAAGCCCTTACTTGGCTACTGAATCAAAATGTCTGTACTTCATGACTTTTCTTCTATACACATTCTTCGAAACAGAGATATAGACCAATGGAACAGAACAGAGCCCTCAGAAATAATGTCGCATATCTACAACTATCTGATCTTTGACAAACCTGACAAAAAAAAAAAGATTACCATTTCTTTAGCACCCTTTTTCTGCTTACCACTCTCCACTAGGCACACAGTATATACAAACTCTATTCCTCATAAAATGTTTACAAAATATTTTTATTACTTCTACATTAAAGGAGACCGAGTTTCAGAATTATTAAGGTCAATATGACACAGAAAAGCATTTGAGATTGATTTATTTTGGCCCAAAACCTCACATTCACCACACTATACAATGTTAAACTAGAACTGTTCAAATGAGACACTTCTGCCCAGGTAGTCATTTGTGAGTAAAACTGGTACATATATAACCATAATGAGGAAATCACTTTGAAGTGCAACAAGTTTAAAGTTCAACATACAGATTCTTCTATCACATTCTAATTACCAGTAATTCATGTCATTATGATTGATATAATTTCATCGAGTTACATTGCAGGAGTTCAGCTCAAGTGTTTGAGGCCAAATTGTGGCGGTGCAACAAGCAAGTGACTGAACTGAGCCCAAAATAATTAAACTCTTTGCTTAAATAACTGCACAATTAACTTAAAAGAAACAAATGGAAAACAAAAGAACTCCACCACCAAACAAACATATAACAACATGAACAAAGGGACAAAATAACCTCAAAAATAAATGTAAGCAATAAATTAAATTACTATAATGTTATGGGAAACAAATTTCATTTATAGTGTTTGGGTTGACCTTCTCTCCATCTCACAGGAAGAAGCTGATGTAGTACATAGACACTGCAAATCAAGGTTTTCAAATTAAATTAGATATATTTACATATAGATGTGTATACGTGCATTAGTATTTTTAAGTTTAATATATTTTCTATTTTTAAATGTGTTGATGTACTTATTTATGGGGTACATGTGAAATTTATTACATGTGTAGAATGTAAAGATCAAGTCAGGGTAATTAGGGTATCCATAATTATGATCAAAGTATTATCATTTTTATGTGTTGTGTGTGAGCATGTACATATATTTCTGCACACATGCACACTTACTTTCTGTCTTAAACTTATCTTAGTTTTTATGGTGAGGTAATTGTGTCATTCAATTATCTACTAATTCATTCTTGAGATAACTAATCCCTGGTTGGAGAAAAACAATCACAATTACTCAAACAGCTTTGAAGAATCAATGCATTGGAATTCAAAATTGACAAAGTCAAAAGGAGCTCTAATAATTGTAATTAGGAGGAAGGAAAGATATCAGTAGATGCTGCACTATAAAATTCAAACCAGTTCAGTTATTGGTGGCATGTTACACCTGTAAGCAAATTAAAGAGCTTGTCGTAAGAGATTTGGAAAGCTAACTGCTCACAGGATATCCGTTGAACATTTGGCTTTTGTGGGTTGAGGGCAGTTTGGTGAAGCTGATGCTGACACTCTGGAAAATACATTTTTTTGCCAGTTATAGCTAATCTTTCATAATTGGTATGAAATTAGTAACTCATCTAAGCCAGGTGTTGGGTTATTTAACTGGTTGCTTTGAGGAGGAGCTGCTTTGATATGCAAGGAACTGTCTTGTTTAGCAAGTTGTTAATGCCTACATATTAAGCATCTTTCTTTTTTTTTCCAGTGTATTTTAAGGCAGAAGATGAACCAGGTATCACATTATTCCATATCCACAAGCCACAAGTTTTTAAAATTTGAACTAAATACCTGCCAATTATGGATTAATCACTTTAACCTTCACAGCATTATTTTTCTTTTGAAGAAAGAAAAACTTACAAAAGGTAAGTCTAACCTAGACCATATTATTGATAATAGTTAAAAATTCCTTAGTTTTAAATACTTTACCTGTATTATCTCATTTAATCTTTACAAACTTGAAAAATAATTGTTTTATTAATTTCATTTTAAAGATGACGAGAATAAAGCTTAGAGAAGCCAAGTGCTTTGCCCAGTCTAAAAACTGAAGAAGCTAAAATTTAAAATGAGGTCTGGCTGACACCAATATTTGTTCTTAATCATTACCCTATAGTACTTTTATGAAGAGAGTCTAACTTTGATAACATAAAAATTAACATTATATATACATAAATAATTGTTTAATTTAACTAACATTAATTGAGTATTTCAGATGCATGAAGCACAGGAACACAAAGAATATAATGGCTTAAACATATACCCTTCTCACCAACCTACTTAAACTGTTATAAAAAATAGAAGAAGATGAAATACTTCCAGACTCATTGTACAAGGCCAGCATGACCATGATACCAAAACCAGGCAAAGACATCAGAAAATGAAAACTATAGACCAATATCTCTGATGAATATTGATGCAAAAATCCCCAACAAAATACTAGCAAACCAAATTCAACAATACATTAAAAAGATTAATCATCATGACCAAGTGGGGTTTATCCTAGTTATGCAAGGATGATTCAACATTCACAGATCAAAAAATGTGATACACAATATCAACAGACTGCAGGACAAAAAGCATATAACCATTTTAATTGGTACTGAGAAGGCATTTGATAAAGTTCAGCATCCCTTCATGATGAAAAACTGGATACAGAAGGAACACATCTCAATATAATAAAAGTCATATGTATTAGTTTGTTTCCATGCTGCTGATAAAGTCGTATCTGAGACTAGGCAATTTACAAAATAAATAGGTTTAATGTACTCATGGTTCCATGTGGCTGGAGGGAGCCTCACAATCATGGTGGAGGGCAAAAGCATGTCTCACATGGTGGCAGACAAGAAAAGAGAACTTGTGCAGGGAAACTTCACTTTATAAACCCATTGGATCGCATGAGACATATTCACTATCATGAGTATAGCATGGGAAAGTCCTGCCCCTATGATTCAATTACATCCCATCGTGTCCCTCCCACAACACATGGGCATTGTGGGAGCTACTATTCAAGATGATATTTTTGGTGAGGACACGGCCAATCCATATCATTCCACTTTGGCTGCTCCCAAATCTCAAGGCCTTACATTTCAAAACCAATCATGCCTTCCCCACAGTCCCCTAAGTCTCAACTCATTTCAGCATTAATTCAAAAGTCCACAGTCCAAAGTCTCATTTGAGACAAGGAAAGTCCCTTCTGCCTATGAGCCTGTAAAACCAAAAGCAAGTTAGTTACTTCCTAGATACAATGGGGGTACAGGCATTGGATAAATACACCCATTCTAAATGGGAGAAATTGGCCAAAATGAAGGGGCTACAAGGCTCCATGCAAGTTCAAAATCCAGCAGGGCAGTCAAATCTTAAAGTTCCAAAAAATGATCTCCTTTGACTCCATGTCTCACATCCAGGTCATGCTGATGCAAGAGGTGGGTTCCCATGGTCTTGGGCAGCTCTAACCCTGTGGCTTTGCAGGGTATAGCTTCTGTCTCAGCTGCTTTTATGGGCTGGTATTGTGTATCTGCAGCTTTTCCAGGTGCATGGTGCAAGCTGTTGGTGGATCTACCATGCTAGGATCTGGAAGACAGTGACCCTCTTCTCACAGCTCCACTAGGCAATGTCCCAGTGGGAATTCTGTGTGGGGGCACCCACCTCACATTTCCTTTCCACGCTGCCTTAGCAGAAGTTCTCTATGAGCACCCTTCCCCTGAAATAAACTTCTGCCTGGACATACAGGCATTTTCATATATCCTCTGAAATCCAGGCAGAGGTTCCTAATCAATTCTTGACTCTGTGCACTTGCAGGCTCAACACCACATGGAAGCTGCCAAGGATTGGGCCTTGCACCCTCTGAAGTCATGACCCAAGCTGTACCTTGGCCCCTTTTAGTCACGGCTGGAGTGGCTGGGATGCAGGGCACCAAGTCCCTAGACTGCAGCAGAAGGACCCTGGGCCCAGCCCATGAAATCATTTTTTCTTCCTAGGCCTCCAGGCCTGTGATGCGAGGGGCTCCTGTGAAGGTCTATGATGTGTCCTGGAGACATTTTACCCATTGTCTTGGTGATTAATATTCAGCTCCTCCTTACTTATGCAAATTTCTGCAGCAGGCTTGACTTTCTCTTCAAAAAATGGGATTTTCTTTTCTATTACATTGTCAGGCTGCAAATTTTCTGAGCTTTTATGCTCTGTTTCCCTTTTAGAACTGAATGCTTCTAACAGCACTCAAGTCACCTCTTGAATGCTTTGCTGCTTAAAAATTTCTTCCGTCAGATACCCTATATCATTTCTCTCAAGTTCAAAGTTCCACAGATCTCTAGGGCAGGGGCAAAATGCCACCACTCTCTTTGCTAAAACATAACCAGAGTCACCTTTGCTCCAGTTCTCAACAAGTTCCTCATCTCTATCTGACACCACCTCAGCCTGGATTTCATTGTCCATATTATTGTTAGCATTTTGGCCAAGGCCATTCAACAAGTCTCTAGGGAGTTCCAAACATCCCCACATTTTCCTGTCTTCTTCTGAGCCCTCCAAACTGTTTCAACCTCTGCATGTGACCCAGTTCTAAAGTCACTTCCACATTTTCTGATATCTTTTCAGCAACGCCCCACTTCACTGGTACCAATTTACTGTATTACTCAATTTTCATGCTGCTGATAAACACATACCCAAGACTGGGCAATTTACAAAAGAAAGAGATTTAATGGACTCAGAGTCCCACGTAACTGGGGAGACCTCCCAATCATGGTGGAAGGCAAAAGTCATGTCTTTCATGGCAGCAGATAAGAGAAGAAAACTTGCGCAGGGATACTCCCCTTTATAAAACCATCAGATCTCATAAGACTTACTCATTATCAAAGAATAGCATGGGAAAGACACACCTCCATGATTCAATTACCTCCCTCCAGGTCCCTCCCACAACAGTTGGGAATTGTAGGAGCTACAATTTAAGATGAGTTTGGGGTGGGGACATAGCCAAACCGTATTACCATATATTGACAGACCCACAGGTAATATCACACTGAACAGGGAAAAAATGAAAGCCTTTCCTGTAAGATCTAGAACACTACAAGAATGCCCATTTTTACCACTGTTATTCAATATAGTCCCAGAAGTCTTAGCTAGAGCAATCAGACAAGAGAAATAAATAATTGGAAGTCAAGTTATCCTTGTTTGCAGGTGATGTAATCTTATATATGGAAAAACCTAACGATGCCACCAAAAAATATAAAAACTGATAAAAAATTCAGTAAAGTTGTAAGATACAAAATCAACATACAAAAATTAGTAGCATTTCTTATGCCAACAGTTAACAATCTGAAAAAGAAATCAAAAAGTAATCCCATTTACAATAACCACAGACAAAAGCAATTACCTGGTAATTAACTTAACCAAAGAAGTAAAAGATCTCTACAAACAAAACTAGAAAACACTGGTGAAAGAAACTAAAAAGGGCACAAAAAATGGAAAGATATTCTATTTTCAATAATGTTAAAATGTCCATACTTCTCAAAGCAATCTACAGATTTAATGCAATCCCTATCAAAATACTGACATTCCTCAAAGAAATAAAGAAAAAACTTCTAAAATTTACATAGAACCACAAAAGACCCAGATTAAGCAAAGCTTTCTTAAGCAAAAAGATCAAAACTGGAGGAATCTCTTTACCTGACTTCAAATTATACTGCAGAGATATAGTAACTAAACATCATGGTATGGCATAAAGCAGACACACACAGACACATAGACCAATGTAGCAGAATAGAGAACCCAGAAATAAATTGACACTCCTACAATGAACTTATTTTCTACAAAGATGCCAAGATCACACATTGAGTGTTAGACAGTCTCTTTAATAAATAGTCCTGGAAAAACTGGATATCCATATGCAGAAGTAAAATTCACCACTATCTCTCACCTTATACAAAAATCAAATCAAAATAGATTACATACTTAAATCAAAGACCTCAAAATATGAAACTAACACAAGAAACATACTGGGGAAACTCTCTAGGACATTGGTCCTGGCAAAAATTTCTTGAGTAATAATAGCCCATAAGCCCATGCAACCAAAGCAAAAATGGACAAATGGGATCACATCAAAATGAAAAGCTTCTACACAGCAAAGGAAACAATCAACAAAATGAAGAGACAACCCACAGAATGGGAGAAAATATTTGCAAACTACCCATCTGAACAAGGGATGAATCACTAGAATACATAAGAAGCCCAAACAACTCTAGCAAAAATTCGAATAATCTGATCAAAAAATGGGCAAAATATTTAAATAGGTATTTCTCAAAAGAAGACACACAAATGGAAAACAAGTATATGAAATACTGCTCAACATTGTTGATCATCAGAGAAATGCAAATCAAAGTTACCATGAGATAGCATCTCACTGTAGTTAAAATGGCTTTTATCCAAAAGTCAGGCAATAACAAATGCTGGTGAGGATGTGGAGAAAAGGGAACCCTTGTACACTGTTGACGGGAATGTAAATTAATATAACCACAATTGAGAACAGTTTGGAGGTTCCTCAAAAACTAAAAATAAAGCTATCTTATGATACAGCAATCCCACTACTGGGCATATATCCAAAGAAAGGAAATCAATATATCAAAGAGATACCTGCATTCATAGCCAAGATTTCGAAGCAACATAAGTGTCCTTTAACAGATGAATGGATAAATAAAATGTGGTACATATACACAGCAGAGTTCTATTCAGCCATAAGAAAGAAATTCTGTCATTTGCAACAATATAGATGGAACTAAAGTTTATTATGTTAAGTAAAATAAGCCAGGCACAAGAAGATAAACATCATATGTTATCACTTATTTCTGGAATCTAAAAGTCAAAACAATTGTATTTATGAAGATAGAGAATAGAAGTATGGTAGGGTAGTATAGTTTTGTGGGTAGGGGGAGATAGGGATGGTTATCGTACAAGATAATTAGAATGAATAAGACCTAGTATTTGATAGCACAAGAGGGTGACTATAGTCAATTATAATTTAATTGCACATTTAAAAATAACTAACCTGCACAATGTGCACATGTACCCTAAAACTGAGAGTATAATAAAAAAAAAAAAAAGAAAAAAAAAAAATAAAAAAAAATAAAAATAACTAAAAGTATAATTGGATTGTGTCTAAGACAAAAGATAAATGTTTGATTGGATGGATACCCATCAAACATTTCATGATGTGATTATTATATATTACATGCCTATAACAAAATATGTTATGTACCCTGTAACTATATATACGTACTATGTACCCACAAATATTAAAAAAGAATTTAAAAAGATATGCCCTTTCTTTAAATAACATAGACTATTGTACAAGAAATTAGATGTCTCCAAATATAACTATGATTTTGAATGCCAAATATAGGATACATAGGAAAAAGAGTGAGATTTCAGGAAAAAACTGCTATGCATAGGTTTAGGTAAAGAGTATAATTAAAAAAGCAAACCCAGAGATAGCATGTACTAAAGTACCACTGTTTGGAATTTTTAGTGAGTGTGTGTGTTTATAATGTAAGTCTCTTTCATTGGTGAATTTTTTCTGATATTTTGTTGTTGTTAAATAGAGCACTTGGTTTTCCTCCCAGAATATTGCCAACTGATTGCTACTCTCATTACTAATTTTATTGATTATATTTCTTTTTTTTTTTTAAATTATACTTTAAGTTTTAGGGTACATGTGCACAACCTGCAGGTTAGTTACATATGTATACATGTGCCATGTTGGTGTGCTGCACCCAGTAACTGGTCATTAAACATTAGGTATATCTCCAAATACTATCCCTCCCCCCTCCCCCCACCCCACAATAGGACCCGGTGTGTGATGTTCCCCTTCCCATGTCTGTGTGTTTTCCTTGTTCAACTCCCACCTATGAGTGAGAACATGTGGTGTTTGGTTTTCTGTCCTTGCAATAGTTTGCTGAGAATGATGGTTTCCAGCTTCATCCATGTCCCTACAAAGGTCATGAACTCATCCTTTTTTATGGCTGCATAGTATTCCATGGTGTATATGTGCCACATTTTCTTAATCCAGTCTATCATTGTTGGACATTTGGCTTGGTTCCAAGCCTTTGCTATTGTGAATAGTGCCACAATAAACATATGTGTGCATATGTCTTTATAGCAGCATGATCTATAATCGTTTGGGTATATAACCAGCAATGGGATTGCTGGGTCAAATGGTATTTCTAGATCTAGGTCCCTGAGGAATCACCACACTGATTTGCACAATGGTTGAACTAGTTTACACTCCCACCAACAGTGTAAAATTGTTCCTATTTCTCCACATCCTCTCCAGCACCTGTTGTTTCCTGACTTTTTAATGATTGCCATTCTAACTGGTGTGAGATGGTATCTCATTGTGGTTTTGATTTGCATTTCTCTGATGGCCAGTGATGATGAGCATTTTTTCATGTGTCTTTTGGCTGCCTAAATATCTTCTTTTGAGAAGTGTCTGTTCATATCCTTCACCCACTTTTTGATGGGGTTGTTTGTTTTTTTCTTGTAAATTTGTTTGAGTTCATTGTAGATTCTGCATATTAGTCCTTTGTCAGATGAGTAGACTGCAAAATTTTTCTCCCATTCTGTAGGTTGCCTGTTCACTCTGAGGGTAGTTTCTTTTGCTGTGCAGAAGCTCTTTAGTTTAATTAGATCCCATTTGTCAATTTTGGCTTTTGTTGCCGTTGCTTTTGGTGTTTTAGACATGAAGTTCCTGCCCATGCCTATGTCCTGAATGGTATTGCCTAGATTTTCTTCTAGGGTTTTTATGGTTTTAGGTCTAACATTTAAGTCTTTAATCCATCTTGAATTAATTTTTGTATAAGGTTTAAGGAAGGGATCCAGTTTCAGCTTTCTACATATGGCTAGCCAGTTTTCCCAGCACCATTTATTAAATAGGGAATTCTTTCCCCACTGCTTGTTTTTGTAAGGTTTGTCAAAGATCAGATAGTTGTAGGTATGTGGCATTATTTCTGAGGGTTCTGTTCTGTTCCATTGGTCTATATCTCTGTTTTGGTACCAGTACCATGCTGTTTTGGTTACTGTAGCCTTGTAGTATAGTTTGAAATCAGGTAGCGTGATGTCTCCAGCTTTGTTCTTTTGGCTTAGGATTGACTTGGCAATGCAGGCTCTTTTTTGGTTCCATATGAACTTTAAAGTAGTTTTTTCCAATTCTGTGAAGAAAGTCATTGGTAGCTTGATGGGGATGGCATTGAATGTACAAATAACCTTGGGCAGTATGGCCATTTTCACGATATTGATTCTTCCCATCCATGAGCATGGAATGTTCTTCCATTTGTTTGTATCCTCTTTTATTTCATTGAGCAGTGGTTTGTAGTTCTCCTTGAAGAGGTCCTTCACATCCCTTGTAAGTTGGATTCCTAGGTATTTTATTCTCTTTGAAGCAATTGTGAATGGGAGTTCACTCATGATTTGGCTCTCTGTCTGTTATTGGTGTATAAGAATGCTTTTGATTTTGGCACATTGATTTTGTATCGTGAGACTTTGCTGAAGTTGCCTATCAGCTTAAGGAGATTTTGGGCTGAGACAATGGAGTTTTATAGATATAAAATCATGTCATCTGCAAACAGGGACAATTTGACTTCCTCTTTTCCTAATTGAATACCCTTTATTTCCTTCTCATGCCTGATTGCCCTGGCCAGAACTTCCAACACTATGTTGAATAGGAATGGTGAGAGAGGGCATCCCTGTCTTGTGCCTGTTTTCAAAGGGAATGCTTCCAGTTTTTGCCCATTCAGTATGATATTGGCTGTTGGTTTGTCATAGATAGCGCTTATTATTTTGAGATACATCCCATCAATACCTAATTTATTGAGAGTTTTTAGCATGAAGGGTTGTTGAATTTTGTCAAAGGCAGAATAGAGGCAGAAAAGTCTGCATCTATTGAGATAATCATATGGTTTTTGTTGTTGGTTCTGTTTATATGCTGGATTGTGTTTATTGCTTTGTGTATGTTGAACCAGCCTTGCATCCCAGGGATGAAGCCCACTTGATCATGGTGGATAAGCTTTTTGATGTGCTGCTGGATTTCGTTTGCCAGTATTTTATTCAGGATTTTTGCATTGATGTTCATCAGGGGTATTAGTCTAAAATTCTCTCTTTTTGTTTTTCTCTGCCAGGCTTTGGTATCAGGATGATGCTGGCCTCATAAAATGAGTTAGGGAGGATTTCCTCTTTTTCTTTTTTCTTTTTTTTTTTTTTTAGTATTTATTGATCATTCTTGGGTTTTTCTCAGAGAGGGGGATGTGGCAGGGTCATAGGATAATAGTGGAGAGAAGGTCAGCAGATAAACACGAGAACAAAGGTCTCTGGTTTTCCTAGGCAGAGGTCCCTGCGGCCTTCGGCCCTGTTTGTGTCCCTGGGTACTTGAGGTTAGGGAGTGGTGATGACTCTTAACAAGCATGCTGCCTTCAAGCATCTGTTTAACAAAGCACATCTTGCACCGCCCTTAATCCATTTAACCCTGAGTTGACACAGCACATGTTTCAGAGAGCATGGGGCTGGGGGTAAGGTTATAGATTAACAGCATCCCAAGGCAGAAGAATTTTTCTTAGTATAGAACAAAATGGTGTCTCCTATGTCTACTTGTTTCTACACAGACACAGTAACAATCTGATCTCTCTTTCTTTTCCCCACATTTCCCCCTTTTCTTTTTGACAAAACCACCATCGTCATCATGGCCCCTTCTCAATGGTCACTGTCTCTTTGGAGCTGTTGGGTACACTTCCCAGACGGGGAGGCCTGGCAGAGGCACTCCTCACTTCCCAGACTGTGGGCAGCTGGGCAGAGATGCTCCTCACATCCCAGATGATGGGCAGCCGGGCAGAGATGCTCCTCACTTCCCAGACGGGGTGGCGGCCGGGCAGAGGCGTTCCTCACATCCCAGACGATGGGCAGCCAGGCAGAGACACTCCTCACTTCCCAGACGGGGTGGCAACTGGGCAGAGGCGCTCCTCACTTCCCAGACAGGGCAGCCAGGCAGAGGCACTCCTCGCTTCCCAGACGGGGCGGCCGGGCAGAGGCGCTCCTCACATCCCAGACGGGGTGGCCAGGTAGAGGCGCTCCTCGCTTCCCAGACGGGGTGGCTGGGCAGAGGCACTCCTCACATCCCAGACGGGGTGGCCAGGTAGGGGCACTCCTCGCTTCCCAGATGGAGCGGCTGGGCAGAGGTGCTCCTCACATCCCCGATGGGGTGGCGGCCAGGCAGAGGCACTCCTCACTTCCCAGACGGGGTGGCCAGACAGAGGCGCTCCTCACTTCCCAGATGGGGTGGCCAGGCAGAGGCGCTCCTCACATCCCAGATGGGGCAGCCAGGCAGAGGCACTCCTCACTTCCCAGACAGGGTGGCAGCTGGGCAGAGGCGCTCCTCACATCCCAGACGATGGGCGGCCAGGCAGAGACGCTCCTCACTTCCCAGACGGGGCGGCCGGGCAGAGGCGCTCCTTGCTTCTCAGATGGGGCGGCCAGGTAGAGGTGCTCCTCACATCCCAGACGGGGTGGTGGCCAGGCAGAGGCGCTCCTCACTTCCCAGATGGGGCGGCCAGGCAGAGGCACTCCTCACCTCCCAGAC
The DNA here is from genome assembly GCF_000001405.40 of Homo sapiens. Classification (NCBI taxonomy): domain Eukaryota; kingdom Metazoa; phylum Chordata; class Mammalia; order Primates; family Hominidae; genus Homo; species Homo sapiens. Next base: position 37,431,844 of record NC_000011.10, read on the forward strand.
GGGGCGGCCGGGCAGAGGGGCTCCCCACATCCCAGACAATGGGCGGCCAGGCATAGACGCTCCCTACTTCCCAGACAGGGTGGCAGCTGGGCAGAGGCTGTAATCTTAGCACTTTGGGAGGCCAAGGCAGGCAGCTGGAAGGTGGAGGTTGCAGTGAACTGAGATCACGCCACTGCACTCCAGCCCTCCAGCCTGCGCGACACTGAGCATTGAGTGAGCGAGACTCCATCTGCAATCCCAGCACCCCCCGGAGGCCGAGGCGGGCAGACCACTTGAGGTCAGGAGCTGGAGACCAGCCCGGTCAACAGGGCGAAACCCCGTCTCCTCCAAAAATCCAAAAACCAATCAGGTGTGGTGGCATGCGCTGGCAATCCCAAGCACTCGGCAGGCCGAGGCAGGAGAAACATGGGAGCCTGGGACAGGGGGGCTGCAGTGAGCCGAGATCACAGCAGTACAGTCCAGCCTCGGCAACAGAGGGAGACCAAAGAAAGAAAGAAGAGGGGAGAGGGAGAGGGAGAGGGAGAGGGCGGATTTCCTCTTTTTCTATTGATTGGATTAGTTTCAGAAGGAATGGTACCAGCTCCTCTTTGTACCTGTGGTAGAATTTGGCTGTGAATCTCTCTGGCCCTGGACTTTGTTTGGTTGGTAAGCTATTAATTATTGCCTCAATTTCAGAGCCTGTTATTGGTCTATTCAGAGATTCAACTTCTTCCTGGTTTAGTCTTGGGAGGGTGTATGTGTCGAGGAATTTATCCATTTCTTCTAGATCTTCTAATTTATTTGAGTAGAGGTGTTTATAATATTCTCTGATGGTAGTTTGTATTTCTGTGGGATCAGTAGTGATATCCCCTTTATCATTTTTTATTGCATCTATTTGATTCTTCTCTCTTTTCTTCTTTATTAGTCTTGCTAGCAGTCTATCAATTTTGTTGATCTTTTCAAAAAATCAGCTCCTGGTTTCATTGATTTTTTGAAGGGTTTTTTGTGTCTCTATTTCCTTCAGTTCTGCTCTGATCTTAGTTCTTTGTTGCTTTCTGCTAGCTTTTGAATGTGCTTGCTCTTGCTTCTCTAGTTCTTTTAATTGTGATGTTAGGGTGTCAATTTTGGATCTTTCCTGCTTTCTCTTGTGGGCATTTAGTGCTATAAATTTCCCTCTACACACTGCTCTGAATGTGTCCCAGAGATTCTGGTATGTTGTGTCTTAGTTCTCATTGATTTCAAAGAAAATCTTTATTTCTGCCTTCCTTTCATTATGCACTCAGTAGTCATTCAGGAGCGGGTTGTTCAGTTTCCATGTAGTTGAGTGGTTTTGAGTGAGTTACTTAATCCTGAGTTCCAGTTTGATTGCACTGTGGTCTGAGAGACAGTTTGTTATAATTTCTGTTCTTTTACATTTGCTGAGGAGTACTTTACTTCCAACTATGTGGTCAATTTTGGAGTAAGTGTGGTGTGGTGCTGAGAAGAATGTATATTCTGTTGATTTGGGGTGGAGAGTTCTGTAGATATCTATTAGGTCTGCTTGGTGCAGAGCTGAGTTCATTTCCTGGATATCCTTGTTAACTTTCTGTCTCGTTGATCTGTCTAATGTTAACAGTGGGGTGTTAAAGTCTCCCATTATTATTGTGTGGGAGTCTAAGTCTCTTTCTAGGTCTCTAAGGACTTGCTTTATGAATCTGGGTGCTCCTGTATTGGGTGCATATATATTTAGGATAGTTAGCTCTTCTTGTTGAATTGATCACTTTACCATTATGCGATGACTTCTTTGTCTCTTTTGATCTTTGTTGGTTTAAAGTCTGTTTTATCAGAGGCTAGGATTGCAACCCTTGCCTTTTTTTGTTTTCCATTTGCTTGGTAGATCTTCCTCTATCCCTTTATTTTGCGCCTATGTGTGTCTCTGCACATGAGATGGGTTTCCTGAATACAGCACACTGATGGGTCTTGACTCTTTATCCAATTTGCCAGTCTGTGTTTTTTAATTGGAGCATTTAGCCCATTTACATTTAAAATTAATATTGTTATGTGTGAATTTGATCCTGTCATTATGATGTTAGCTGGTTATTTTGCTCATTAGTTGATGCAGTTTCTTCCTAGAATCAATGGTCTTTACAATTTGTCATGTTTTTGCAGTGGCTGGTACCGGTTGTTCCTTGCCATGTTTAGTGCTTCCTTCAGGAGCTCTTTTAGGGCAGGCCTGGTGGTGACAAAAACTCTCAGCATTTGCTTGTCTGTAAAGTATTTTATTTCTCCTTCACTTATGAAGCTTAGTTTGGCTGGATATGAAATTCTGGGTTGAAAATTCTTTTCTTTAAGAATGTTGAATATTGGCCCCCATTCTCTTCTGGCTTGTAGAGTTTCTGCTGACAGATCCACTGTTAGTCTGATGGGCTTCCCTTTGTGGGTAACCGACCTTTCTCTCTGGCTGCTCTTAACATTTTTTCCTTCATTTCAACTTTGGTGAATCTGACAATTATGTGTCTTGGAGTTGCTCTTCTTGAGGAGTATCTTTGTGGCATTTTCTGTATTTCCTGAATTTGAACATTGGCCTGCCTTGCTAGATTGGGGAAGTTCTCCTGTGTAACATCCTGCAGAGTGTTTTCCAACTTGGTTCCATTCTCCCCATCACTTTCAGGTACACCAATCAGACATAGATTTGGTGTTTTCACATAGTCCCATATTTCTTGGAGGCTTTGTTCATTTCTTTTTGTTCTTTTTTCTCTAAACTTCTCTTCTCACTTCATTTCATTCATTTGATCTTCCATCACTCATACCCTTTGTTCCAGTTGATTGAATTGGCTACTGAGGCTTGTGCATTCGTCACGTAGTTCACATGCCATGGTTTTCAGCTCCATCAGGTCCTTTAAGGACTTCTCTGCATTGATTATTCTAGTTAGCCATTTGTCTAATTTTTTTTCAAGGTTTTTAACTTCTTTGCCATGGGTTCGAACTTCCTCCTTTAGCTCAGAGTAGTTTGATCGTCTGAAGCCTTCTTCTCTCATCTCGTCAAAGTCGTTCTCCATCCAGCTTTGTTCCATTGCTGGTGAGAAGCTGCATTCCTTTGGAGGAGGAGAGGCACTCTGATTTTTAGAGTTTCCAGTTTTTCTGCTCTGTTTTTTCCCTATCTTTGTGGTTTTATCTACCTTTGGTCTTCGATGATGGTGATGTACAGATGGGGATGTCCTTTCTGTTTGTTAGTTTTCCTTCGAATAGTAAGGATCCTCAGCTGCAGGTCTGTTGGAGTTTGCTGGAGGTCCACTCCAGACCCTGTTTGCCTGGGTATCAGCAGTGGAGGCTGCAGAACAGCAGATATTGGTGAACAGCAACTGTTGCTGTCTGATCATTCCTCTGAAAGTTTTGTCTCAGAGGAGTACCCAGCCGTGTGAGGTGTCAGTCTGCCCCTACTGGGGGGTGCCTCCCCTAGGCTACTCGCAGGTCAGGGACCCACTTGAGGAGGCAGTCTGTCCATTCTCAGATCTCCAGCTGCATGTTGGGAGAACCACTACTCTCTTGAAAGCTGTCAGACAGAGACATTTAATTCTGCAGAGGATTCTGCTGCCTTTTGTTTGACAATGCCCTGCCCCCAGAGGTGGAGTCTACAGAGGCAGGCAGGCCACCTTGAGCTGCGGTGGGCTCCACCCAGTTCGAGCTTCCTGGCTGCTTTATTTACCTACTCAAGCCTTGGCAATGGCGGGTGCCCCTCCCCCAGCCTCGCTGCAGCCTTGCAGTTTGATCTCAGACTGCTGTGCTAGCAATGAGCGAGGTTCCATGGGCGTAGGACCCTCTGAGCCAGGCACGGGATATAATCTCCTGGTGTGCTGTTTGCTAAGACTGTTGGAAAAGCGCAGTATTAGGGTGGGAGTTACCCAATTTTCCAGGTGCCGTCTGTAACCCCGTTCTTTGATATTTCTTAAAAGCTACCTAACTATGAATGTCTTTATTTTAGCAAGTGATGAATGAGTGCTTCTACAGCACATAATGAGATGTAATAAATTCCATTGGTTTACTTTTCTTTTTAAAGTGTAGCCACAGTAGAAATGTTTATTGTATGGATAAACAAAGTCCATTGGGAATAGTAAAGGAATTGAAAGATATCTATAGTTTTAGAAATTCCTTAAATGGAATTTTTGATTTGCATATTTTGAGGCCTGTGTTGCATGATTGAAAGGATAAGGCCATGTCAAAGTTGATTTTGATATCTCTTTTCATCCTAGCAGGTGGACTTCATATATTGTGATTGGAAGGCTTCTGCAAAGACTTTTCTACTTACAGAATATCCCTAAGTTCTCTAGGTTGCTGAAATCCTTTAACAACATTCATCCATATAAAATAAGCGATGCCTTTGAATATAACATCTTTTAAAATGTAACATTTTTCTGAAGAACATCTCAACTGAAATCCTTCTCATTTAGAGTCAGCAAACTGTTACTGAAAGTTTACATATTTTTATGACCACTGTGTGTGTGTGTGTGTGTGTGTGTGTGTCTAAAATCAAGCATTGTTTCTGTTATTTTTAATCCACTTTTGTTCTGTAGAACGTCATTAGGACTAGTAAATAATTTTTGACTTCCTTCAAATTCCATTGAATTCAACCAATATATAATCTTAATACAATATATGAAACAAAATAGGACCATAGTTACATAAATAATAATTAATTCTAGATAGGATAAGAGTTGGATATGATAGTTTTGGGAGGCCTAATGACATTGGATATTGATCGCAACAGTAAATGACCACAACAGTAACTAGAGCTTATTAGGATTCCCTGAAAGATAATTAGATAATAGAGAAAACTAGTAGTACTAAGATTCTATTGAATTACTCTAAACCCCAATTCAAAGAGTCACATAACATAAAACCCATTAGTTACCTCCTGTGTACTTCCATATAATTCATTTCTCATTAATCATTTTGAAGCCTAGCAAAAGGATCAATCTGAGCCTCATGATCCTTAATATTTTCTATTTTTATCTATATTTTAGCAATGGAAATAATGGCATGAACATGAAATAATGCCCACACAGCTTGGACTCTGCAGCTCTCTACCTAGCCCAATAGAACCACCATCAGTATGAGGAAGAAAATATTCTAGATCAGCTACAGAATTTTCAGCGATGACGGAAATGTTCCATAAGCTGTGCTACCCAATAGGGTAGCCACTAGTTACATGTGGCTATTGAACATTTGATATATGGGTAGTGTGAATAAGGAAGGGAATTTTAAGTTAGATTTAATTTCAATTTATTTAAGTTTAAATAGCCACAAGTACTTAATGGCTACTTTATTGAACAATGTAGTTCTAGCTTGAGGTAGATATAGGTACAGAAAAAAAGAGGCATGTGTATTTGGGAAGCAGACAGTAATTTGAAAATGCTAGAGAATAGAGGAAGATTGAGTATGTCTGAAAGTGAAGTTGCACAATAGATTAAGGTAAATTGTAAAAGACTTTCCAATGGCAAGCCAAGTTATAAGCTTGGCCAGAGGCATTAAAGCCTGAGAGTGACATAATAAAATATCTATGTTTTAGGGCATTCTCCTTGGTATATTAATGATAAAAGGTAGGAGACAGGGAGTATATATTAAATGAATGTTACCAAGAAATAAGTTAAATATAATAACATTATAAATTATAATAATGACAGTGGGTGGAGTAAAATAGTTCAAAAATATTGTAAAGATAGAATTCAGTTGACACTACTCATGACTGATTTTGTACGTATGAGGGGGCTGGAGAGGAGAGAGTGTATAGTCGTAAAGATAATTTGGGGATTACTAGCTTAGGTAACATATGATAATGATGTGAAGGCTGGAGGAAAATCAATTTTGAGAGAGTGTTTCAGTTGGCTATTCCAACAATGCTTCATAACAACCAACAGGCAACTCAGTGGCTTAAAACACCCATTTGTTACTATTGACCTAAGTTTACAGGTTGAATGGGCTTTGACCAAGCAATAATCAATGATATTACTTGGGGGTATTTATATGGTCTTAAAATGTGTTGGGCTAATTTGGGATATTCTCAACTTGGTTGACTATCTCTGTTCCATATATCTCAACCTCTATCTGGCAAGCTTGAGCATATTCTAATTGGAAGCCAAGAGTAGAGGAAGCATAAACATCAAGGAGATTTTAGTCATAGGTTCGTCACTAGTTTGCTAGTGGTCTATTGGCCAAAACAACTCATGGGGTCAAGCCCAAAGTTCAGGTAGGATGGCAATACAAAAGACATAAATGGAGGAATACATGAAAGATTGGACCCTAACCAAATCACTTTTCCATAATCTTTCTTCTGGCCACAGTTATTATATCTCTTCCATGTGCTTAATAGCTTTTATTGCTATCCTCTTCCCCTTCAATGATCCATATGATCATTGATCATTGCACTGGACTTAGAGTTTAGGAACTCATGATTTAAACGAAGTCCAGATATAGCTTCTCTTTATCCAAGGATCTATAAACTAAAAAGACAAGTTAACTATCCTCCCAACTCTTCACACACTCATAAGATAATGAAAGAAAGACAAAATAATCTGCAACAGGCCATTCCACTTAAAAAGTAGAAGGTTGGGAGGCACACAATCTTTAATAAAGGTTCTGATCATTCTCAGCAAACTATCACAGGAACAGAAAACCAAACATTGCATGTTCTCATTCATAAGCGGGAGTTGAACGTGAGAACACATGGACACAGGGAGGGAAACGTCACACCCCGGGGCCTGTCAGTGGGTTGGGGGCAAGGGGAGTGATAGCATTAAGAGAAATACTTAATGCATGCTGGGCTTAAAACCTAGATGACAGGTTGATGGGTACAGCAAACCACCATGGAAAATGCATACCTATGTAACAAACCTGCAAGTTCTGCACATGGATCCCAGAACTTAGAGTATGAGTTAAAGAAAAGATTCTAGCATCCAGTTAGAACCATTTTGCAAATTTTCACTACCCTAGATTTCAGAGGGGGTTTGAAGTGGCTCCCTAGACCGTTATTCTTTACTCTTCCATGGGAGTGAGCTATCTAGTCCAATGTTCCTCACAGCTCATCCCTCCACACTCATTCATTACCCATATTTTTTCACTTCTTTAAAGGTCATTAGAAAATACATCTTTTTGGCTACTTTCTCAGGCTGCTTCTTACTCATATTAAGGTGTGGATTCCAAAACCTTTGTATATTTTGAAATATATAGACTTATTTTACTCAAGGCTAACGGCATTTTCACCAATATTGCTATTCCAAAATTTGCATAGGTTTCCTGTGAGTTGGATATGATTCCTTTCCATGCTTAGAGTGTCACATCAAGACTTGTTTTTGGAGACATGTCTCCTCTCTAGACTTAGTCATTAATATTTGGGTGGGATGATGCCTTTAGTATTCTAAGAAGTCTTTTTGACTAGTTTGGTGTGTCACTCTTGATTTGACCTTTGACTCCAAGTATTTTACTTTGAGAAATATTTTCCCAATGGAGAATTTGAAGATGAGAAACAGCTTTATGGTACGACCCAGAAACTGTTGACCCTTCTGTCTCACATACAACTTTAAAAAGCCAAATGACACTTTCCACTTTCTGCCTGAAAAACTTGTTGTTCAATTTCATAATTTTGTCAGATGCTTTTTATATCATCTAACTCACTGTAGGTGACAATTATCCCAATTGTTTTACCACAATACAACATTTTTAGCAGCTTCCTCAGTGCTTTTCTAGTCTTTGTTCAATGTCTGCTTCAAAAGCCAATGCAACATAGTATTGGTTTTTGTTATGAAAGCACTGTATGTCCAATGACAATTTCTGTGTCAATGAGCTCCTACTTCAATAACACTTCATGTCAAACTCAAATTGTTTAGTGATAATGATTTATTAATGCTCAGAAATCCATAAGTGATTTTGGTATGGCTTGTCTGTGCACTTCTCCTGGTCTCAGTTTGGGACACATTAACAGATTTTGTGGTTTTCTTGCTTTAAACTGATATAGGATACTCTTCCTAGGACAAAAGTCTTTATGTTTTCAGCCTCCTATAGGGTAGACCTGAGCATTTGCCTCAGAGTTTAAGAATGGAAGAAGAGATGTGCAAACTCCTTTTTAAGCCTCTCCTTCCATCATTTGTTTTTGTCCCATTGGTCAAAGAAAGTCATACAGCTAAGTCCAAAGTTAGTGTGGGAGAGCTTTGTCAAATGCATTGGTGCATGAAAGTATGGGAAATTGGGTATATCAGTTCAATCTACCACTGAGAGCATGTAATGATTTTGGCTGTGGAGTAGAGATGAGACAAAAAAGGTCAAGACCATATAATTATGGTTTTCCTATTCTAGGCTCAAAAGTCTGTATCTTTTCTGAAGAAATGAGAAAATAGTAAATAATTTTAAGTGGTGGGTCAGCATAATACTTTTTTTTCCCATAAAGATAACTCTGCAACACTGTGTAGGGATTAGAAAGATTATGGCTTGAAAGCAGGAAGACAAGTTAGAAGAATATTGTCCTAATTCGGGTTATAAATCATTAATGTCTGATAAACTAATAATAGAAGGTACAGAGAAAACACTACAGGATATCTGATTGAGGGAAGGAGAAATTCAAGTTTGAAATCAGTACATTTTCTTACAAACTCAAGAGAAATGAATAGGAGAAATAATTATGTCACTAGTCCAAGGATATAGTTGACTTTTTTTTTTAATTAAAAATGGTTTCCAATTCCTTTATTTATACTTATAATTCACATTTTAGAAGGCTTGTTATCCCCTCCCGACTCACCGTCTCAGCCTCAGGTAATTTAACATAAGAAATTTGGTGACACCCTCAATAAAGCTAACACAGAGCTTTAAATAAATGACACTGCTGCATTTTGGGTGTTCTTCTGGACAGGAGTACCTCCGAGCTTTGATTATTAATTTTTACTTTCTACACTTAAGTCATCCTTCAAAATGTGGAGTAGATCCAGCAGTATGCCAAAGATGGCTTATACTGACCTTAAATTATTCTTTCTGTTGTTTTGGGGCTGTTTATGTCAGAAACAAAATAAAAAGCACATTTTTCTTTTAGCAGAAAGCATTGCAGGTGTTAAATGAAATGGTCATTTGTCTCACTGAAGTTGACCTGACAAGCCTGGAGTGGCTTTTTTCTCTATGGTGAGAGTCTTAAAGGGTGTTTGCCAAATTGCAATTGCAAGAAAACAGTACTGCAAAGAAAGAATATCATGAGATATTTGTTTTTGAAATAGTTCAAGTAAAGGAAATACACACACACACACACACACACACAAATATATCTATATATAAAATATGTTTTTTGTTAGGAATTTTATCTAGTCTTTTAAAACTATATTGGGAAATGTGTGGTTGGGAGATAAAAAAGAACTAATCTCTTTTGGACGTGATTTTGGTATCAAAATACTTCAAGAAAAAGGAAGCCTGGTTGAATGTCAATATATTGAGCAAGGGCCACTTTAAAATTAAGTCTAAAAAATCCCCAAACTTTTTAAAAAAGCAAAGAGGAACTTTTAAAAATATTAGAAGGGGAAACTAATCATACGCAGTGCAAGAACATACCTCGGCTCGCTATCGTAAAATTTTTTGTAGGCATATTGTGGCATCTTTGCTACAGAATTAGTTCAGGTTGTGCTCATGTATCTACTGTTGTAAATTGTGCATTCAGTTTTACCTATCCTATTCAAAAAACTTTTTTATGAAAATCCCCACCCCAGAACATAACAGGCAACTTTTACCTTGGTGTCTAACTATGAGATTGATATCCAAAGAGCAATTGACCAAACTGAGTCAATAGCACTAACATTTGAATTAATTAGATAAATAAATGTCTACTATGATTATCAGGTTATTTATGTTAAGGATTTTGGCATCCATTTCTTTTTAACTTTGCTTTTCATTTTCTATTTTGTCTGCTTTTTTATAGTGTCACCTGGAAATAAAATGTGTAACAGGAACTGTCCTGAATATCCAATGATTAGGTTCCTTGCAACACAGGAACTTGCAGGGCCAGGAAAGGATTGTCTTTGCTGTATGTCCATGGAGAGAGGAGCAAAGGGGAACTGGGAGGCGATTGTCTCCCATGTTAGGTGTTTCTGTTTCCCATGCATTTGACTATTCCTGATTAGTTTTAAGCCTCAGAAAGCTGAGTTTCTCAACTCTACAAAGGAGTAACTTACTTCAATTTTATCTCAGGGTAAAGTGAGGCTTAGAGGCCTGACACGTGTGCCTATTTTTAGGGAACCAATCTAGATGAGAAGTCTCTAGCCATTCTCTAGAGTTAGTCCAGAGAAACTGAGATAGTCCCACAAGCTCTTGGCCATCATGCTACATTTTAAAATCATATTGGGAAGAGAGAAAATATAGTGCCAACAAAGGGAAAAAAAGCAATAGATACTATCTGGTTTAGTCAGTTCAGACTGCTATAACAAATTACCATAGACTGAGTGGCTTAAACAATTTATTTCTCACAGTTCTGAGGCTGGAAACCTGAGATCAGGGTGCCGGCATGGTTGAGTTTTAGTGAGGGTCCTCTTCCATGTTGCGGACAGCTGATTTCTCCTTGCCTCATCACATGGTGGAAAGATGGTGAGCTAGTTCTCTGCCCTCCCCTTATAAGGCCACTAATCTCATTCATGCAGACTTTACCTTATGACCTAATTACCTCTCAAGAGCTCCACCTCCAAATAAATTCACACTGGAAATTAGATTTTAACATGCATTTTGAGGGTACACGAACATTCAATTTGTAATATTATTATTAAACAGACATATGATGGCTTAAAAATGGGTACAGATTCTTTGTATCCCCTGCTATCAAGAGTTAAAGTTTCTTTCCCATTTCCTGAATGTGGACTGGTCTTATTTTCTGCTTTGACTAATAGAATGAAGCAGAAAGTGATTAATTAGGGAGTTCTAAGATGATTCCTCAAAAGAACATGCAGCTTCTGCTCTCATTCTCTTGGAATGCTGTTGTCATATAAAAAGTCCCAGGCAGGGCTGCCACAGATACATGGTCCAATTCACAGCTGACACCAATCATCTGCAGATTTATGAATGAGGCCACCTTAGACCTTCAGTCCCAATTAAACCACCAGATAGATAAAATCATACGAGTGACCCCAAGGGGGACCACAGTCAAGACCAAATTGTGGACCTGAAGAACAGTGAGCAAATAGGGTTTTGTTTGTTTTGAGAGAGGGTCTTACTCTGTCACCTAGGCTGAAGTGCAATGGAGCAAACAGGGCTCACTGCAGCTTCTGCCTCCAGGGCTCAAGCAATTCTCCCACCTCAGCCCCCACAAGTAGCTGGAACTATAAGTGTGTGCCACCATGCCAGGCTAATTTTTGTATTTTTTGTAGAGACTGTTTCACCATGTTGCCCAGGCTGGTCTCAAACTCCTGAGCTCAGATAATCCACCTGCCTCAGACTCCCAGAGTTTACAGGTGTGATCCACTACACCCAGCTAAAATAGTTTCTTTTTTAAGTCACTAAATTTAGGGGTACTTTGTTATGCAGCAATAGGAGACTGATAGAGCTTTAGCCCTTTAATCTTTAGCTCTAAGGAAGGGAGAGATAAAAGAGAAAACCACATCCTGTGCAGAGACAGTGTACGTAACCTTATCCAGCAAGGACTACAGGCCAATTAGGGTTTCCAAATTTGAACAATCCAAACGACTTATCTTTTCTGGGATCATGATGGGAGAAGGTAAAGAGTAAGAATGCTAAGAAAGACAAAAACCTTTCTTCCTGGCCGTCACAGATTTCTGTGTCTCTTTCTAGACTGTTTTCTGCTTAAGGGTCGGTCATTTTCTTATTTTCTTTTATTTTTTATTTTTTGAGACAGTGTCTCTCTCTGTTGCCCATGCTGGAGTGCAGTGGCACGATCTAGGCTCACTCCAACCTCTGCCTCCTGGGTTCAAGGGATTCTCATGCCTCAGCCTCCCAAGTAGCTGAGATTATAGGCACACGCCACCATACCTGGCTAATTTTTGCATTTTTAGTAGAGACAGGGTTTCACCATATTGGCCAGGCTGGTCTTGAACTCCTGACTTCAAGTGATCCACCAGGCTCGGCCTCTCAAAGTGCTGGGATTACAGTTGTGAGCCAGCGCTCCCAGCCAAGAGTCAATCATTTCCTTATTTAATTTATATTTTTAAAATACATATTCCTGTGGATTGCATAAAATATACCCTAAAATAATTAATTGCATTAATTTTCATTATAGCTCAGAAGTTCAAGGATTGGTATTTTTTTGCTGTAATTTACTTTGAAAAAATGGAATGAGCTTAACCAAGAACACATAGCTAATGATTGGCATGGTCAAAACTCTTATGGGACCTTTGATTTTTTCACTAGTGTCAGGTATTAACATATTGTTTGCTACAAATTTAAATATGTGACTCTGAAATGATGGACAATGTTATAAATTAGTGACTTAAGATGATTAAATTACTGACTTAATACATTCCATCTGAGAATTAACCATGGGGTTGCCAGTGTAGGAGGCTGATACTGCCATAGTCGTAAACAGAGCCAGATCTTGATTCACATATATCCAGTGCAAATTACAGCTTTGCATATTCCATTTTGTGTAATTTTGAGTAAGATTATCTGTCTGGGCCTCCATTCTAACATGCATATTGGAGAAAGTAACAATATCTACACTATAAAATAAGGATTTAGTGGCAAATATACACCATGGAATACTATGCAGCCATAAAAAATGATGAGTTCATGTCCTTTGCAGGGTCATGGATGAAGCTGGAAACCATCATTCTCAGCAAACTATTGCAAGGACAAAAAACCAAACACCGCATGTTCTCACTCATAGGTGGGAATTGAACAATGAGAACACATGGACACAGGAAGGGGAACATCACTCACCGGGGCCTGTTGTGGGGTGGGGGGAGAGGGGAGGGATAGCATTTGGAGGTATACCTAATGTTAAATGACGAGTTACTGGGTTCAGCACACCAACATGGCACATGTATACATATGTAACAAACCTGCACGTTGTGCTCATGTACCCTAAAACTTAAAGTATAATTAAAAAAAAAAGATACAATCTACAAAATACTTAACACACTTATAAATATAACAAATATGTACCTAATGTTTGTCAGGTTCCAGACCCTGTTCAAGCACTTTACCTCTATTAATGCACATAATCTTTTTTATTTTATTTTATTTTATTTTATTTTATTTTATTTTATTTTATTTTATTTTATTTTATTTTACTTTGAGACGGAGTCTCTCTCTGTCGCCCAGGCTAGAGTGCAGTGGTGCAGTCTCGGTTCACTACAACCTCTGCCTCCTGGGTTCAAGCGATTCTCCTGCCTCTGCCTCCCAAGTAGCTGGGATTACAGGCACTTGCCAACACGCCAGGCTTTATTTTTGTATTTCTAGTAGAGTCGGGGTTTCACCGTGTTAGCCAGGATGGTCTAGATCTCCTGACCTCAAGATCCGCCTGCCTTGGCGTCCCAAAGTGCTGGGATTACAGGCGTGAGCCAGCACGCCCTGCCAATGAGACAATCTTTACATGAGCACTATGTGGTAGGTTCTATTGTTATTCTACTTGTTTCACAAATGAGAAAAGTGAAGCAAAGAGAAAAGTTAAGTAACTTGACTGAGATCACACTGGGCTCCCTCCTAACATTTGTGTGGCTGAGGGCAAGAATATAAATGGTAGCCTTCGTATTCTGTGTCTAAAAAAAGAAAAAGAAAGAAAAGAAAAGAAAAAGAAAAATAGCAGTGTATCATGAACTATATATTCATATAAAATTTGCATTTATATTTAGTTAAATCCTGTTTAAAAGGGGGGAGTGGCCATATGGACATAGTTCAGGCGATTTTAAGTGCTGTGCTGAAATTGTCTCAGTCATAAGACAGGGAAAATGATGTATACAATTGGTTGACAAAAATGTCAAAAGTGTCGAGATATTTAAATTTTATAATTGAAGTGGCTCCCTCTGGCTGGCCTGTATTCTCATGCAGGGATTAGCAGCTCTCTTCCCTGGGATCAGTCTTACAAACTAAGAAGCCAAACATAAATTGATACTTGCTTTCTGCAGCCTGAGTACAGTGAAAAATCTGCTGGGACAAGGAAAGATGAGGGGCAGAGTCTGGCCCTGGCCAATGTTGCCTTTAGGATGCAACTGGATCCACCTATACCTGGGATAGAAACTGACCAGGATAAACTGGTGGTGAGCAGGCTCTCCTCTCCAGCACCTCACTTTTGTATCTTAGGATTTCCAGGTCTTTCTATTTACCACTCAAAACTACATCAGATGGGCATAGCATGGGAAGTGGTATAGTTATCAGAGAAACTTGGGCTGCTCAGGCCCCACTTAGGAAGATTTGGGTCATCCATCTTTAAACAAGTTTCCCTGGTATAAAGCATATTTCATCTGATTTTCCTAGGGGCGGCAGTTTTGATTTCTTCACCCTGGCTCTACCTATCCTTGCCCACATTTCTTGTTAGCCTGAGATTATCTGGTTTGTGAAACCCAATTTGGTTTTTACCTCTTTCCTTCATGTCTTCCCTCCTTTTATGAAATTTCAAAACATGTTAAGAGGCTGAAAAAAAAAACTTTGCATTTCAGTTTTTGTGATTTGGGGGGCCCTCTAGACATAGAGCTCAGAACACAGGCCCTTTCAGCCTAATCTAAAGGCAATACTGGATCAAAATGGAATAATGACAGAAATAGCTTCTGAACTCCTATGATCAGGTTCCAGAGCCTATGCTCTTAATTACTACACTGTACTACCCCTCAGCAAGACTATCCGAAAGAATCTTGTTTTAGAGGGACTTGTTCTATATGGAATGCCTTTGAGAAAACCTTGTCAGGATTCTTAATCTGTGATAGGACACAGCAGTCTCATTACATTATGGTCGGGTTGCATATAAGAATATATCAGAATTTTTTTTTCATTAAATCTCTGGCATGATTGCATTGCTATTTAAATTGCAATCTGAAAATGAAACAGTACTTTTATTTTTAGTCATTAAAATCATGCCAAAAACTGATGTGGAAAGGATTACTATTCAATGAGTGACAAGAGGGGGTTGATTTAGTAATTACATAATTTGTGTTTTCACATCTAAACCCTCTCTCTCAGGCTTCCTAGAATATACTAGATGTGAAGCTGTTAATCAATTATATCTTTAAAAAAATTACAACACTCATTCTACTTTTCTACAAATAATTCATAGTCATGGTACAATTGGCATCCCATAGCGATGTCTAGTAGTATGTACTTATTGTTGAATGTAAGAGAGCTTTAAAAATAACTAAAATGTACCATGAAAGTAAATTAGTAGAACCCTTGTTGTGATTCTGAATTCTTGATTGACTTTTATCGTCTTTGTTTGTTCATTCACCACAGGGAGAAGAGCCTACCATCACCCTGAAATTAACAATGTTCAACCCTATTAAATAACACTTAAAGAGTTATCAATTCTGAGTGTTACACTAATGCCATTTTCTGACTAAAATCTTAGAATTCATTTCCTTTGAAACTGAAAAGAATAATGATCTTCTCCTCTTATAATAATCTCAAATCTGCATTTACATAAGCAATCATTTTATTTTAGATTTTTAAGATTTTTTTTGGCTGCTATGTGATAAGATTATATCTTATAATTTTACCTGAAATGTAAAAAACCAATTGTAGTCTTTCTGATTCTACAATTTGGAGCTTATTATAGTTTAAGATTAATGAATTTATTTTATGTTTTCTTTAACTGTGTGTGGAAAGAAGAAAAACAAACAATATTTCTGTGATTGAATTCTAGCCCCAGCTATGCATGACTATATTGGGGAAGCTACTGGTTCACAGAATCTCTTATTGCTTCAAAATATTTTAACAATATTATGGAGCTTTAGAGAATGAATATGGGATCCATGGAGAATAGATGTACCTTTCAACAGACATAGATGTAAAAATGTAACAACAGCTAACATTTATTGAGTTCTTGCTCTATGCCAGGCATTGTTCAAAGTGCTTTATGCGCAGTCTGATCTAATTATACAACAGCTCATGCTAGGTTTTGGTGGGTATTGGAAACCCACTCTGGACTGTGTATTCTTGGGATTTTACTTCTACTTAACATCCTGAAGGAAGAGGCAGAGTGGGTTATCTATAACTGCCCTTATAAGCACTGGCAAGGAAAATGAAATCTTTCTGTCTTTCACATCATGCAGAGAACGTATAGGGAGAAGAGGTAACTAGATTGTTATTGAGAAAAACCTAACCTGTATTACCCAAGATGTTCTTATACATAAACATTGAATTTAAATGTGATGTTTATCTCTATTCTCTCTTTTGACTTTATTCAATAATTTTTCTAAAGAATATTGCAGTCATAAAATGGTAGCAATTCATATTCTGATTACAGTAGAGAGAAATTATAAATTTTTTTAAATGGAAGAATTATTACATGTGTTATGATACTTAATATTAAAGAAATATTACTTAGATATGAAAAATGCTCACAGCGTCAAAACATATTAACTATAAATACTAAGGGAAATGTCTAAAATGTAAACCACATGAATATTGAACAATATAAAATACTTGAACAATATAATATAATGTTCAATTATATTGAACAAGTATAATATAATATACTTGTTCAATATAAAATATATTGAACAATATAAAATACATACAAAAGTATGATACAAATAGAAGGATAACAAGAAAATTAGAATAGTTTTTATTTAAGGAACTTTGGGTAAATTGATTTCTTTAAGAATTTACTTAAAAAATTAAGATGTGAAGGAAGACTTATTTAAAACCAATAATATTTGTAAAGCAATTTGCTCTTTTCTATATTTACTAAAAGGAAGAAAAATTGTTTCAAACCAAAAGTAATTTTGAGTAAACAATACACAGTGGTTGTATTCATTTAAATATAAAATATGATATTTTCTGTGTCATCTGCCATAGTCCATCAATCAAACAAATTATCCTTGGAACTTCTAAGGCTATTAGCACTGAGGAACACATAGTTATTTCCTTACAATACTTTCAGCTTAAATTGGAATTTTTACTGCCCAGAGTACAATATAATCTAGAACATCTTTTTTTCCTAGCAAAAGCTCCTATTCAGTCTGAATTATCTCAGGATATAGTCATTGATTTCCTTAATCAATCCAGAACTGTCCATCTTCACTGGTTGTAGTCGTCTCTGGTTGCCTTATAATTGTATAAATACACCACCTTAGAACTTACATACATTTTATGAGAAAGTATGGTATTCTTCTAGGAAAACAAACTAGAACAAATAATATTCTGGCACAACTATGAGGCAAAGGAATATTTCTTAAAAAAAAAAAATAGCGAATCAAAGTTTGCTGCTCAAACATCACCTCAGGGAGTGGCTCAATTGGGACAGTAAACAGCCTGTGTTTCCAGCACCTCCACCCACAGTAGTTATGAAACATTTGGAAATCAACAGAGACTTGAAAGAGCCAAAAGTACGCAGTGCCCTATATATCTGCAGTTGCAAAAATGCTGCCCGAGTATTTGAGACTTTGGCAAATTTACCCTTCATTCCACAAGGTGGGGTTGTTTCAATATGAAAGAAAAGAGCAAGAGGCTCCAACTGAGACATGCTCTTGCCCTATTTCCAAATAAGAAAATATTATTATTTTGCTATTACAGAGGAAGAAAAGACAGACTTTTGTAAATCTATGAGAGAAATGTTCTTGGTACACTTTTTTGTTTTTCTTAATTCTAAACAATGCTTTATACAAACATAAATTTGAAAGGAAGATTCTGCTGCTTTATTCAATAATTAATATGAGTAACTAAACAATTTGCTAATTCAACAAATATTTATCTCTTCTGTACCAGGCAGTGCTCCATGGCCTGAATATAGAAAACTGAACGAATTAGTAAAAACAAACAAACAAACAAAAAACTACCACAACAAAACTGTTTGTGGAGCTTATATTCTATCAGAGCTATGGAAGGTATGGAAGGGGCTGCTGAGATGAAGATGGAACATACAAATATAATATATAAGCCCATATAATAGCATATTAGATAATAATACATTCTAGGTAGAAAACAAAAAGAATGGAGGATGCCCAGGCTGGGGGTGGGATTGGGTTAACAATTTAATAATCTGATCTCTGAGACGTCCCTGAAAAAGTAACGCAGTTTGTTAATGAATTAAATGTTGGTGTAAGAGAAATAAAGAATGAATGAGTTTCAGACTTATATTGTCAGATTTTTCCTGGTCCATAAAAAATACCCCTAGATAAAATTTAGGTTTTGGACCTTCTATGTCTTGCTCAGAGGCATTCTACTTGGTAGTTTTGTGATGCTGAGCAAGGTCCTAATGCAGTCTAGGTTTTGATTCCTTCATGGGCAAAATGTGGATAATATTGGTAACAAACATATAAATATAAGGATGAAATGAGTTAATATATGCTAAATGGTTATATCATGCCATTATATGCTATTATTTTTTCTTTAATTGCATTCTCAAAATCAGGATCTGCAACCCAAATCTCTCAATCTATTATTCTAAAATGCCTCTCTAATATGCTATAACGTATTAGAAAGTAAAAAGCAAAGTAAAAAGGAAGGAAAGCTGTTTAGACTGCATCTTCATAGCAGGAAACAAATTCTAAAGGGGGTGGAGTGGGGAGGTGTGGGGAAGAAATAAGAAGAAACAAATTGGTGGCATGAACGACTGATTCTACTTGTTTCTCTATCACTCAGAGTTGTCTTTTCCCCTAATTTCTTGATTAAGACTGACAAAGATTCCCATGAATCCTGATCTTGCTATCAATTAGGCAGCATCTCTGAGAACTCAGTTCCATACTTGACATGGCAATATTATGTGGCAGTCAGAAACTGATGTAAAGACTTTCTGGTGCTGCTGTGATAACAGCCCAAGCAGCAATAGGAGAGAGAGGATATGTTGAAACATGAAGTTGTTCTGTGGTTTGTGGGCCAAGAGTGGCAAGACTTCCTCATCACTACTCCCTGACCTTTCTTCTACCGAATATTGCTTTCACCACTTGTTAGTTTCACTAATAAGATTGATTTCTACTACTGAAACTGGCAAAGGTTCACGTGTTTCAAATTGAATAAATTGGAAGAGACACAGATTGAGTGCTGGTGAAACTGGTTCAATTAACTTGTGTATTTGAGTACCATTATGTGACTTGGGTATCTGAGTAGCTATTATGTGACTCAGGTGTTTGAGTACCTATTGCACGAAACAGACCTTTAGATAGTATAGGAAATAATGTCTTCAAAGATAGGAAAATTAGATGTTTACATAATAGCAATATGGAGCATCATAAAATAATTTCTATAAAAACCAAGTTAATGTGGTATGCTTTAAAGGAATGAAAAATCATGTCTAACATGGGATCATGTGAGGCATTATGCAGAAGGTGTGTTTGAAATGGGTCTTGAAGAATAAGGATACAATCTAGGCAGATAGACAGAGAAGGTACTGAGCTCATCCCTAATCCTCACCTTGGTGTTTGTGTTTTCCGGGGAATAGAAGTTGAAATATTTGGGTTGCAAGATTGTTAGAAAACATGCTGAGTTCATGTTTCAACGTCACAGTTGTAGACAAGTTTACCTTTGAGTAAAGTTCAAATGATAAACTTTTACAAAGATTTTTATTAGTGAAGTTCTTTTTCATATTATTGCATATTCTTATAGACCTTCCTCATCAAAACTTTGCTTTGTTAAAATTACACATTGTCGTAATAGCCAGCATAAATATTATTGAAGGAAAATGTGTGTCTGCAATCAAAGCCTTTCCTCATAGTTTGGAGAAAGAATTCCTCAGAGGTCACAAGTAATAAACTTATTGCCTTTACACATGCCAACTGATCTTGATTTAAAAGCTCTTTGCAAGGTCTGGAAACCCTGACATTCTGTTTGTAATAATATTGATCGATTTCAGAAAGATAAAGTCTAACATTCAATATCAATACTTAAAAGTCTTCCCAGAAAATACAGGGAAAGAAAATAATTCCAGCTTTCTGAATGTACAGGAATTAGAATGAAAATGCTCGAAAACATCTTTGAATTTAGAAAATGTGACATATTACTAAAGACTTAGAATGAAGGCCAGATCCCAGAGGGTGTAATAAACACAATCAAAAGAAGCAAACTGATGTAAAATGAAGGCCAAAACAACACTGAAATATCCACTGACCACAGACCTCTGCTTTTTAAACTGTGTGCCTCTTTTAAAGCCTCTGCATGGATTTATTGTTGAACATTAACTTGGGTTTGACAGGTCATCCACATGGAAAAATCCAATGTGGAGTTAGAATTGCTGATTGGAATTTCTGCTGACATATCAAGACTATAAATGCAGATGAGGAAATCACCCACTTAGAGAAAATAGAACTTTGGGAGTGACTGACATAAAAGAGAAGGGTTTACATTGAGTAGAGCAGGGATTATTAATCCTAAACATTCCCAGAATCACCCAGCAGGTATTTTAAAACAGGTCACAGATGCATGCTGGACATCTTGATGAGAGGGGTGTGAATCTTGACAAGAGGGGTGTAACTCAGAAATCTACTCAGTTTTTAAAAGTATCTCTATGTACACATATAGAAATTTTTTTAATTGAAGAAATGTCCTGGAAAAATACTTAAAAGTTGGAAAACAAGAATGATTTTTCTCTTTTTACATATAAAAAGTTCCAAAAATATTCCTGTGCTTTATGTCTCATGTGCATTGTAAGAATAAAAGGAAAGTTAAATTGAAAGTGCTTTTGTATTCACAAGTATTAATTAATTTTTTAGCTTATGTCATAAAGAAGTGATTACTTGTTTATATAAGCATTTTCATCATTCTGTTTTACCAAGTATAAATTAACTATGGTCTCCCCCACAACTGAAGGGAATTAATTAACCAGAGTTTCTCACATAATTTACGAACAAAGATCTTAACATGAGACCTTATTTATTAACAGCTAGCTTCCCCAAAGGAACTAATCACTCAACAATACAAAGGGGCATCATTAAGAAATGGAAATATTTTTTTAATAAATGGATAATGTTTTGATTACTTCAAATGGTAGTACTTAAAGCCTCTATTACAGCTGTTTCTGTTTTTGTTTTATTCTGTGTGTGGGAGAACATTTGACTGATGGATTTTATTTTCTTAATCCGTATGACATTTGTTTATTATTAAACCTCTTTCTTATAAGAAGCTGATAAAGTCAAATTTCTTGGCTCATGCATTCTGAACTTGGAGGTAGTCACATTCTCTAAATTATAAATGGTTTTGCTCAGATGAAAGGAAGTTCCACTTGTTTTTCCACTTTAAGGCATCTGCTGAGATGTCTAGGTGTGCATACTCTTCCTGTCATTTCCATCCACTAAGATAATGACCGTGCTTTGGCATAATCACAGCTTCTGAAGCACTGTACTCTTACTAGGCTAAATTTATTACTAAATTCCAGGAACCACTTCCTGCTCACAAGTACATTCAAAGGTACATATTTTGATATTTAAGTCTTTTTTATATTCCTGTCATTTGCCCCTTTGCCCTAAGAAAATTTCAAGGTAGAGTTTTTAGTGCCCTTGAGAAACATCATAAAATTTTCTTCATGTTAAAATATCAACTTGTTTTACTTGCAATCCTGCTATAAAATATAGGCCCACACTCAGAATATTAAGGATTCTAAGAAGAGAGAGACAGAGAAGGGGGGCGGGGAGAGAGAGAGTGCAAGCCATAACCTAAACATGTGATTGCATATGATTGTACAAAAAGACATTAGTGATTAAAAACTTAACAGCTCTAAACAAGGAAAGCTATAATGGAAATAAAGCATTTCCAAAGCAAGCAGCTGATAAGACTGTAGTACAGAATGGATAAGAAAACTACACACCTGGGCAAGTGGTAATATTTATCTTGGTACAAATGTGTATATGTAGAATACTCTCACCACAACAGTATTTTCCCTGGTGCTTTATTTTTATTTTTCTCCTTGTATAAAGCTTTTAAAAAGAAGAGAAACACATTCTAAAAGCATATAATGATATAAATATGTATGTTGGAAATTCTGCCAGTGCACTATCAAGAAGCTGAAAAATAATTTGAAAACTGTTTTTAAAAATGTATTATTTCAACAGATATTTAATGAGTTATTATATGCTTAACACTCTACTAAATGCTGAATGGCAGTCAACATAGATATTTGTCACTATTTTTCACGGCATTTATCTTCTGGAGAAAGAATGAGATGTGAAAAAATAATTTTTATAAGGTGTGGTAACTGTTAGAATAAGAAACATACAGAATATGAAGGGAACTCCTAGTAATATTGGAATATACCACTTATTCTTTCAAAGTGGTAAAGTCAGAGGGAACATCAGGTAGATTAAAAAAGACATGTTGAAAATTGTGAGGCCTAAGAAAAGTTGTAGAGTTTTAAAGAGTCATGGGAATTCAGAATGGCTAGCAAGGAGAGTACCAGCGATGGGAGCACTGGAAGGGGTGCTGGAGATTTGAAAGTCACTCATGAGGAGGTGGAAGTATGAAACAAAGCCAGAGCCAAGTAGAGGCAGACTCCTGTTGAAGGTTCTTCAATTAGGCAGACATTGGAGGATTTTAAGCAGAAGAGTGGACTGATTAGATTTGTTGAAAACTACTCTGTAAACTGCGATGAAGGGATTGGAGTGAGGCACATGGATGTGAGGAGACCAGTTAGGACACATAAAGTGGAATAAGTGAGGGACCATAAGTATTTTAGACTAAGTAGGAGTTTGTGAGATGGAAATTTAAGTAGTAAATCTTGATGTACTTGCCCAGAAACTTATAAATGTCTAGAGCCCTCACATTCTGTTTTAAGAACATGTAAATATTCTCCATGAATTTATCCTCTTATAAGAAGTTCATGAATGCTGGGAGTCCATTCAGTTCAATGAGTCACAAAAAATTATTTTAACTACAATTTTTTCTTTGAACATCATTTTATCGTTTTATAGTTTGGAGGTGGGTTTTGAAGCCAAGGTGGTATAAATGGTGTATTAGCACATTTTCATACTGCTATGAAGAAATACCTGAGACTGAGTAATTTACAAAGAAAAAGATGTTTAATGGACTAACAGTTCCACTTGGCTGGGGAGGCCTCACAATCATGGTGGAAGGCAAAGGAGAAGCAAAGGCATGTCTTACATGGTGGCAGGTAAGAGAGCATGTGTAGGGGAACTGCCCTTTATAAAACCATTGGATCTTATGAGACTTACTCACTACCACAAGAATAACACAGGGAAAAACCAGCCCCCATGATTTAACTACCTCCCACTGGGTCTCCTCCATGACAAGTGGAGATTATGGGAGCTACAATTCAAGATGAGATTTGTCTGGGGACACAGCCAAACCATATCAAATGGGTTTTATTTACTCCTTAGCAAATCTTCAGAAGTTTCCCAAATCTCTTTAGGATATATTGGCATAAGGTATTCTTAGTTTTCATATCTGAGTATTCAGTCATTGAGTGAAATAGGAAAGCCCCTACTTTAATATTTTGTCTCAAGCACAGGTTGTCTGCTCTGGTTACTACTGTTGCTTGGGCCAAGACCTTCATTTAAGTACATCTGACTTGCTACTGGAATGTAAAAGTAAATGAAATAGATTGTATTTTCCCAATATGGCCATACAATATCTCACATCCCATATACTCTTTTGAACATTACTTCTCTGTCATCCATATCTGGTACCTAACTGCCCTTTCCTTGAATCTGGGTTGGTTTGTGATTAATTTGTATCCAATTAAATTTAGCAGAAATAATGCAACATAACTTCCAAGACCTAGTCATAAAATACATATAATTTCTGGCTTGCTGCCTAGCAAATGTATCTTTGGACCCCTGAGCCATTATGTGAGAGCTACCTTAAGAGGGCCATGCTATGAGAAAGTGCAGGCCTCAGAGAGAGGCCATGTGTGGGTTCTAGTCACCAGCCTTAACTGCGATCCCAGGCAACAGCCAGCATTGGCCATTGGAGCTGTTTAGATAATTCCAGCTCCCTTTGTTCAAGACAACCCAGCCTTTACACCTTTCCAGATAAGGCTTTAGACACCATGAGGCAGATCAAAGTTTTTCTTGCTATATTCTCTAAGCACTACAGACCCAGAGAGTGCATGAAATTAATTTTTTGAAAATGTTATTTTGTGGTGGTTTGTTATGCAGCAATAGTAACTGTAATAGTTAATATGATTCTCAAATGTTGTCGTTACTGAGGAGAGTTAATATGTACCGACAATATTTAAATGAGAAATGCTATCTTATCACAACAGGAATTTGAAAAATAGTACAACAGTCAAGAATGTCAAGACCATTTGTTTTTTCATTTTTTATATGATTGGGTCAAGATGAGCTTTGAAATAGTAGAGAAGTAGACAATATTGGCACTGATTAAATTTATGTGAATTTAATGTTTTCAAAGAAACAGAAAGGACTTCCTACTTCCTAGAATTTGTTTAAAAGGCTATCATTAATTTTCAGGCTTCAAAAAATTTGTCTTATTGGACTTTGCCTCAAAAACGGGAAAAAATGTATCAAACACCAGATTACCAATGGATACTTACTTTATTTTATAATGCTGTGAAAAATAAAGAATAGATAAGTTCTAGGATTTGAGAAACTCATAGAATTGCTCATTATAAAATGCAATTGGTTAATTTCTCATGTCTTTTTTATTACTGGGTTTTAGAGAAACACAATTACATGTGGTCTTGTTAAGACTTAACCAAAAAGAGGTAAAACAGACAGTCACATAATAATGACTTTAATACTCCAAATTGTTTTACTTTCCCCATGGAGTTCTTTATGCTTTATCTAATATTGACTGTGCTACTCTTACATGACATTGTGAATTGTGTAGCACCTAGTTACTTAATACTGTTTTCAATCATCAGGCTTATGTTATATCCCTCTCTCGCTACATAAGGATTTACAAGCAGGAGATAAGTTCAGCCAAAGTTATGCATATCAATTCTGAAATGATAGATGAGGCTTAGTCTCTTCCTTTTTGCAAAGGAATGAAATGCATTTTGACCAGAGGAAAGAAAGTTGAGGTTGCATGTGTTTCTTGTCACTAATCTCTATTGGGCAAGATTATGTAATAATTTAAATACTGTGTAGATTTTATACAGCATATGCATGTCATATATGCAAATTTAGTTCATTGGAATCTTCACAAAATCCTGTTAGTCTGATGTAAATATAGAGATGATGAAATATTGCCAACATAGATAATGAAACAGTATTTCTCTACAAAACCATGCATTCAAGTGGCCATTTAATACATGTTCTTCTTTATACAATTACAATGCATTGGTGATAGCCTGTGTTGCCTTTCCAAGTCTTTTGATTATGTAATATCTGTAATTTGGGAGACTTTTTATTCACAAACTATGGAAAAAATTGTTATTATAATAAAAAATAAAACAGTAACTAAAATGTACTCTATTTGTAGCCTTATTAAACTACATTTGAAACCATGAGAATTTAATTATTTTTATAATTACTATTCTTTTAATAAATATTTTTGAGGACTTGGCACCAAGTTAGTAATTTTGAAATTGCCATGGGTCATCCTCTAGACATAAAGGCTCAATGACAATAGAGATCAGAGGTGTTCTGATTGTCTGGCTGTGGCTGTTTCTCAACTCATTGCACTGCATCTTCTGGCCTTGCCACTTCATTGAAACTATTTTTTTTTCTTTTCTTTTAGGGCTCCAGTGATCCTAAGGTTGTTGAATTCAATGGAAACCTTTCAGTAGCACTTGATACAGCAGATCTCCATTCTTCTCTTCATTGTCAGGATATCAGCCAGTCTGTTTTTTCCTCTTGCTGTCTGTTATGGCTCATTATCATGCCCCTTGCTGGATAGTCCTCCAGTAGATTTCTAAATGCTGGAAGTATTGAAAATGAATGAATAAATAAATAAATATTTTTTTGAAAATTAAAAGAGAATGTGGTAAGCATTGAAATAGATACAAAAATGAACCTGAAATGGTTGCTGACTTCAAGCCTACTTTAATATAGAGCAAAAAGTGATGTGGGTATTAATAACCGTAAAATGAAGAGTCAATAACCCACACAGCCTTCCCATCTTCCTTCTACTCTCAGGTCTCTTCAAGTCTATTCTGCACACAACAGCCAGCAAGTCATTAAGGCACTAAAAAGATAATGTCTTACCGTATTGGGACCCCTCCAGTGGCTTACCACCTCAGCGAGAGTAAAACTTAACTCTCTAATAGAACCTCCAGGGTCCTCTGTAATGTGACTTCTGGCTGCTTTTCCAATCTCATTTTGGACCATTCTTTCCTCTTCAGCTGCACTGGGTCCTTGCTG
This sequence comes from Homo sapiens, assembly GCF_000001405.40. Classification (NCBI taxonomy): domain Eukaryota; kingdom Metazoa; phylum Chordata; class Mammalia; order Primates; family Hominidae; genus Homo; species Homo sapiens. The sequence goes on from NC_000011.10 coordinate 37,458,186, forward strand.
TTCCTTAAACACTCCAGCTATAGTCCTACCTCAGCCTCTACTGCATTTCTCTCAGGTTTCCCCAGGGCAATGCTTTCTCTCCTTTGAAGTCTCCACATCATCCTTGGAAGGAGATTGTGTGGGCAAGAAATAATCACATTGTCTTGTGCTCCAGAAGCTCGACCTTGTTCTGAATGGAGTCAGTTTAAAGTAAACATCAAGTGGAAAAGAAAGTTACAAAAGGTAAGAAAGGATATGGCTTATGTGGAGGTTCATTAGTCCTACCACTTTCAAAGAATTGGTAGCATGGGTACAGTGGCTAGATGTAGGAGTCTGAATTGCATTTCCTTTTTGTTACTAGTGATTGGAGCTCCTTCTCTTAAGAAAAGTTGCTCTCCAAGGAACAAGATATACAGACCCCAAAGCCTTGCTTAGCAACCCATTCATAGAAATATATATATAATGTCAGACTTAAGGTGCCTAATCTGTTTAATAAATCCTAGTTCCTCAATATTAAATGGAAATGATTATATATTATATATATATATTTGTATAAAATCATCATTAATTTAGTAAGGATTTAATGAGCATCTGTCTGTAGCATCTAAAGCAGGTTATTATTAGTTAAATGGTAAGCTATTGTGTAAATGAATTCAAACAAATGATATTGAGGTCAGCTAAAACTCATTGACCATTTTCTTTGAATTTGGGGTTCATTCTTCTAACACTACAGCCATTATTCGTTTTTTAAAAATAAGCAATTATTGTTAGTTTGGCACAACTTGGAGAAGGTAAAATTCTTAAAGAAAACAGACAATAAATCAATTCACTAGAAACCATTACTGGTTTGCAATAGAGTGAAATAATTTAAGCCCCTGGGAGATGATATACTGATAATAAACGTGTAGATGATGATGATGGTGCTGATGATAATTAACATGTACTGAGTATTTATTAAGCCCATGTAATTGTGAAAACAAAGAATTGTATTCTCAAATAATCCTGATATAGGCATCATTATTATCCTCATTTTAATGATGAGGGAAAAAAGCGCAGAGAAGTTAAATAACCTTAACCCAAATTGTGTGGTAAACTGACAGAGCCAGGACTTGAATGAAGGCAGTCTCTCTTCAGAGTCTAGAAATTCTGACACTGAGATTTGTGTCAAATTGATAACACATTTATAGGGTTAAATGCAATTAGAATATATGGAATACATTTTTATAGAAATATTTACCAGTTATGGCGTTATATTCCCAATAGTTTAATTAGGGGAAATCTTGATATTGGTGTGACCGATTTTCTAGAGAATAGTAGTTATAAGGTGAAAGGTGGAAGGCGAAGAAATGATTGGCTAACCTGTGTCATTTTTAGATCCAATTTCCATGAATTTTTGAACTCTCAGGAATAGAATTCTTGTTTGAATGAGTTGATTTTGAGTGAATCACACTTTGGGAATTCATCATAAAAAATAGTCTCAATCATTCCTGGAGACAGAGGGACTGATGTAGTTTGACACATTGCTGGCATGCTCTGAATCCCCACCACTGTCAAGATTTTGAAAGACATAAAACTAGTTTTCAAATGTTCAAACCTGGGCCTGGGAGAGATTCTGAGTCTCACAATTTGAAAATAAATAAATTTTGTCAAGTGTTTACTGCTCAAATCCTCCCTGAAAATTGGCATGTCATATTTGCAGGAGAAAGTGGATCCTTCATGTCAGTTTCCAGTAATAGCAAAGAAAGAGTATTTCAGATATGCAGTATTATAAAGCACAGAAAGCGTAAGAGAGACTGCTGCACAGATTATGTGTCAAAACTAAAAGTTAGCCAGTCAGTGCAAAGAAAATAATTTTATTTTTATAAATCTGTCTAGTTTTACATTTCTTAACCATTGATGCTTCCAACACTGAAGTTATAGCAGGTCCTACAAAGAAACAAGAGTAAAAAGTGTAGACAGTGATTCCCAAGCAATTTACTAATAAAAAGTCCATTTGATTATTTTATTTTGAGAAGTATTATTTCATTTTCACATTGTGAATGATGCAGACATCACAAAGTCTCTATAGACTAAAACACGAAGTTTGCATACACTGATATTTTCACTCCTACTCTTCACAGTAATTATTTATCAGCAGTTTTGAGTTTATCCTTGCAGTTTTCTTTCTACATTTTGCATATCTATACATGTACATATTATATATATATATATACACACACACACACACACACACACACACACAGAGATACATACATAATGATGGCTTTGGGCATAGTCTCAAAAAATTAACAATGTGTTTTATACATCGTTTAATGTTATTATTTTCAAGGGCAGGATGATGTTTAAAGATAAGTATGCATAGGCCGGACGCGGTGGCTCTCGCCTGTAATCCCAGCTCTTTGGGAGGCCGAGGTGGGCGGATCACGAGGTCAGGAAATTGAGACCATCCTGGCTAACACGGTGAAATCCCGTCTCTACTAAAAATACAAAAAATTAGCCGGGCGTGTTGGCAAGTGCCTGTAATCCTAGCTACTCGGGAGGCTGAGGCAGGAGAATGGCTTGAACCTGGGAGGCGGAGCTTGCAGTGAGCCGAGATCGCGCCACTGCACTCCAGCCTGGGTGACAGAGCAAGATTCCGTCTCAAAAAAAAAAAAATAAATAAAAAAAAAAAAAAGAAGATAAGTATGCATAATAATTTACTCAACCAATTACATATTAATTAAGATTTAATGTATTTCTCATTTTTAGTTCACAATTTTGCTCTTAAATACAATGCTGTAGAAATTTTATTTTCAGCCATGATAGGGTAACTGCTTCCAAACTTGCCCTTCTACCATAAGCAACTATAAAATCGAATAAAATATGTGAGGTAACTCTTTGAGGCATTGGGCGGCAGGCAATACAGGAAGGTGATTCTTTTATTATTATTATTATTATTATTATTATTATACTTTAAGTTTTAGGGTACATGTGCACAATGTGCAGGTTAGTTACATATGTATACATGTGCCATGCTGGTGTGCTGCACCCATTAACTCGTCATTTAGCATTAGGTATATCGCCTAATGCTATCCCTCCCCCTTCTCCCCACCCCACAACAGTCCCCAGAGTGTGATGTTCCCCTTCCTGTGTCCATGTGTTCTCATTGTTCAATTCCCATCTATGAGTGAGAACATGCAGTGTTTGGTTTTTTGTCCTTGCGATAGTTTACTGAGAATGATGATTTCCAATTTCATCCGTGTCCCTACAAAGGACATGGACTCGTCATTTTTTATGGCTGCATAGTATTCCATGGTGTATATGTGCCACATTTTCTTAATCCAGTCTATCATTGTTGGACATTTGGGTTGGTTCCAAGTCTTTGCTATTGTGAATAGTGCCGCAATAAACATACGTGTGCATGTGTCTTTACAGCAGCATGATTTATAGTCCTTTGGGTATATACCCTGTATGGCATAAAGAAGTCTGTGGGATTCCAAGTTTGTTAAGGAATTTTTTTTTCTGGTCAATTGAAAACAAAACTCTGGTGTTAGACATATCTGGATACTGATTGAAAGTCATGCCTTGTGAACAAAAGATACTATATCCAGAGAAATTCCAATCCAAATATTTAAAATAAAAATGCAAAAAAGAAACTGTGTTAAGAGCTTTAAAATAAATTTATTTTTTTAAAGAATCTCCATACTGTTTTCCATAATGAGTGTACTAATTTATATTCCCACCAACAGTGTATAACAGTAGCCTTTTCTCTACATCCTCACTAGCATTTGATATTTGTTTTCTTTTTGATAATGACCATGCAAAATGGGGTGAGATGATATTTCATTGCAGTTTTGATTTACATCTCCCTGATGATTAGTGATGTCAAATATTTTTTCATATACATATTGGCCACTTTTTAGGTTTTCCTTTGAGAAATGTCTATTCAGATCTTTTGTCCACTTAAAAAATTGATGATGATGATGATGATTGCTATTGAGTTGTTTGAATTCCTTATATATTATGGATATTAACCCCTTGTCTGATGCATAGGTGCAAATATTTCCTGCCATTCTGAAAGTAGTCTATTCATTCTGTTAATTTTTTTTCTTTTGCTGTGCAGAAGCGTTTTAGTTTGATATAATCCTATTTTTCTATTTTTGCTTTTGTTACCTGTGTTTCTGAGGTTATATCCAAAAAATTGCCCAAACCAATGTCATGATGAATTTCCCCCATTTTCTTTGAGTAGTGTCATAGCTCAGGGTCTTAAAATCTTTAATGCATTTTGAATTGATTTTTGCATAAGATGAGAGATGGGTCTAGTTTTATTCTTCTGCTTGTGGATATTCAGTTTTCTCAGCACCAATTATTGAAGAGACTCTCCTTTCCCCAATATGTGTTCTTTGCACCTTTGTAGAAGATCAGTTGGCTATAAATGTGTGAATTCACTTCTCGGTTCTCTGTTCTGCTCCATTGATCTGTGTCTATTTTTATGCCGGTACTTTGGTGTTTTGATTAATATTGCTTTGTAGTATATTTTAAAGTTGGGTAATGTGATGCCTCCAGCTTCATCCTATTTGTCCAAGATTACTTTGGCTATTTAGGGTTTTTAAATTTTGTACACATTTTAAGTTTTTATATGAATTTTAGGATTTTAAAAACATTTTTTGTGAAGAATGTCATTGGTATTTTTATAGAGATTGAATTAAGTCTATAATTTATGGATGTTTTAACAATATTGATTTTTCCAGTTCATGGACATGGGATATTTTTCCATTTATTTGTGTCCTTTTCAGTTTCTTTCATCGGCATGTCATAGTTTTCATTGAAGAGATCTTTCATCTCCTTGATTAAATTTATTCCTAGGTATTTTTTTTTGTAACTATTACAAATAAGATTGCTTTCTTGATTTCTTTTTCAGATAGTCACTATTAATGTATAGCAACACTACTGAATTTTTATGTTGATTTTATGTACAGAAACTTTACTGAATTTATTTACTGCTTCTAATAGATTTTTTTGTATGTGTGTGGAGTCTTCAGGGTTTTCTATAGACGAGATCATGTTATCTGCAAACAAGGACAATTTGACTTTCTCCTTTCCAATTTGGAAGCTCTTTATTTCTTTCTCTTAACTTAATTGCTCTGTCTAGGACTTCCAGTACTATGTTGAATTAAACTGGTAAAAGTGGGCATTATTGTTATGTTCCAGGTTTTAGAGGAAAAAAATTTAACCTTTCCTTTTTCGGTATTATGTTTGCTGTGGGTTTGTCATATGCAAACTTTATTGTGTTGAAATATATTTCTTCTATCCTTAATTTGTTGAGTTTTTAAATCATAAAGAGATGTTTAATTTTATCAAATGCTTTTTCTGCATCTATTGAGATGATCATATGCTTTTTGTCCTTTATTCTGTTAATGTGATGTATCACATTTATTGATTTGTATATGTTGAATCATCCTAACAACCCTGGGATAAATCCCATGTAATCATGGTAAATAATCTTTATGATGAGCTGTTGATTTGGCTTGCTATTATTTTGTTGAGGTTTTGTTTGCATCTATGTCCATCAAGGATATGCTATATGATCAGCAATCCCACTAATGGGTATGTAGCTAAAGAAAATGAAATCAGTATATCAAAGAGATATCTGCACACCCATGTTTGTTGCAGTACTACTCACAGTAGCTAAGATATGGAATCAACCTTAGTGTTCATCAACAAATAAATGTACAAAGAAAATAATGTAGTTTATTTACATAATTAAGCATTATTGAGTCATAAAAAAGAATGAAATCTTGTCATTTGCAGCAACATGGATGAGCCTGGAAGACATTATATCAAATGAAGTAAGCCAATCACACAAAGACAAATATTACATGATCTTACTCATATGTGGAGTCTGAAAGGTTGATCTCATAGAAGTAGACAGTATAATAGTTGTTACCAGAGATGGGAAAAGCTGAGCAGGAGAGTGATGGGGAGAGGTTAATCAATGGTACAAAGTTACAGATAGATGGGAAGAATAAGTTCTTGTGTTCCATTGCACAGTAGGGTGACTCTAATTAATAATAATACAGTGTATGTTTCAAAATAGCTAGAAGAGAGGATTTTTAATGTTCTTAACACAAAGAAGTAATAAACGTTTGAGGTGATGGACATGCTAATTACACTAATTTGATTATTGTACGTTTTATACCTGCATCAAAACATGACACTATACCCCAAAATGATACACAATTAAATGGCAATTAAAAATAAAAATAAATTTAAAAGTGTTTTTAAATGCCTTATTATTTTTGAGCCCTAAATGGAAAGGTAAGCCAAACAACTTTGTGATTGCAGTAATTCAATTCTAGAAAATTTTTTTTGGCCATTGGCACAATGATTAGACATTATACATTCTGTCATTTCTTTTTCCTATCATTCTGCAATTCCTAATAGAAACATATTGAAGTTTTAAATTCTGTTGCCAGTGATAAATAATCATTTTTTAAAAATTCGTTATAGTGTTTTCATTTCTCTGTGCTCCATTTTGGTTGATTTCCTTAGACACCAAATTCAGTTTAATAATTCTCTCTTCAGCTTTGTGTAATCTGCTCTTTATTAGATGCACTGAGATTTTATTGCCAATTACTGTATTATGTTTTACATTTATGGAATTTTTATTTGATTCTTCTGTAGAAAATGTACCTACTCTTGTTAATACTACATGGTTATTTGATTTTGTTTCCCCCTCTTCAGTGTACGTCTTCGATTATTTTAAACAGATTGTTAAATAGATTTGTTCTTAGTATTCTATTATTTGAAGTTCTTTTCTTGAATTTTTGCAATACTTAATCTTGCTCATGCTAGTTTATTTATGTGAGTCGCAATTATTTTAGTTTGAGCCCATAGCTGCTGAGAGTGTTTTTCTTTGTGTGGGTCCTATGAGCCTTCTGATATGGAAGTGTTTTTATAGGAACAGCTTCTTATTTCAATCAGATCAATAGAAGTTTCAACTGTTTGACTGATACTAGTTTTTGTTAATTTTTCAGCAGTATGCTCACTCACTTCATAGTGTGAATTTTTATGTGGCATTTGGCTTTGTGTTTTTACCTGATGTCTAGAAAAATGAAAGCTCATAGAAGAGGGCTAATATGTTATTATTTAATACCAAGCATAATCACAAGAGTAGAAATGTGAAACAAGGATAGTGAAACAGTACAGAAAAAAGAGTCAATGCAAAGATGTGTTATCTGTCTGCCCCCTGCTAAGGGTGACTAATTGCTTCATCCTTGGAATCATGCCTTTCAGCAGCCTTTTAAAATATATATCAGCAGTGTTGCTGTGAGTGAATCTACCACAGGGCAAGGAGGGAAAAAGAAAAGGCAAAGAATTTGCCTACAGGATCAACTGGATCATCTTTCCCTTTGGTTAAAAGTGCAACCCATGAGATATATATATATATGTGCCTAGAAATATTCTTTACCACATTGTTTCTCATGCTTAACAAAAATGCCCCAAGGAGGAGGCAGGAAGCATGCAGGCAGGAGGTGAGAGTTATTGCATGATCAGGAGGTGATCAGGTAGGTCTTGTCTGGGTAGCCAGGAGCTACCCGTAGTACAGATACTTTGGTCACCTTGACCCTAAGGATCTCTTGGTATCCTAGATTTTTGAACTTGGGATGAATGCAAGTAATCATCAGGGCTGGTTTGGTTTAAAGGCAAGTGTGTAATTCTGGGGGCTACATAATGCAATCTAATGTATCCAGCTTTCATTTCCCAATGGGTACATTTTTTGTTTACTTTTCCCTGGATAACTGATAATCTTTCTCATTTTATACATGAGTGATAGTATATATTTCTATTTACTTTATTTTATGGAGGCGGTAGCTCTGTTATGTTCCAGATGTTATGCTTGATTTCTAAACTGCAGATCTCCAGCCTCATCTCATGCAAGGGTATCTTTGACAGGGTATTTTAATGAACTAGGTGAGAGATGATCATCCATTTTCTTGTCTTCCCTATTTCACAGGGAAAGGTCAAATAAGAAACTTTTAAAGTGAAATATCTCTGAATATTTTAAATTATTGAATACTATGTATATCCTGTTGTTGTGGTTTTTATTAATGTATGAAGTTTCAAAGGGGAGAAAAATAAATACTTTCAACACTCTACAGTTCCAATGACAATGCCTTAGTGCATAACTTTAGGCATTATTCTACCCAGTTTCTAAGAGACAAATAAAGAATATCCAGGATCTAAGAATAGCGTCAGCTTGAAGGTCACCTGTGTATTAATTATACACATTTATGTTGTGTTAAACATATACACATAATCAAGAAAGTGTTATTTATTTGTAAAAATGTCTTGATTTTTATATTAAAAAGTTCTGCTGTGTTTTCTTCATGTGGATCTCATTGCAGATACATCTGCCTACTGTTTTGTGTCAGAACTGCAACACTCCTACAACTATATAAATTGTACAGCTTTCATTACTATGGACTGAGAAAGTATGTTTTTCCCTTCTCATTAACATGGATACAAATGTACTTTCTAAGTTTTAAAGTGTGAATCAGCTAAATTAATATTAACATATTTAAAATAGTATACTTGATGAGGAAAATATAATAAAATTAAGTCACTATTTCTGATAACTATCCATGTTGTGGCAGAGAATGCAGCTAGGACATAGCTAGAAAAATGGAGAAGTGTTAGCTTGCCATAAAGCAGAGGTTAAATAGAGTAGGAATAGATTGATTGACTCTCAAATAAGAGCAATAGTGATCTTCTATTTAATTGCCTATGTCTCTTTCTCACATTAGAGGTGGTTCTATAAGCACTGAAGTCCAACAAAGCTCTTTTTATGTTTTTTTTCCTTATTTAACCACACTGATGTTTTGCAAAGTAGTTCCAGAGGAAAGGTCTTCCACCAATAGTCTGAAATGAATAATTGGTTGTGATTAATAAACACCAGATTATTGTGCATTATATATGTGGACAGTCATCTTTCCGAGACATTACAAATGGATATATGTGGACAGTCATCTTTCCGAGACATTACAAATGGATACCTTTGGGCAATAAAGAACTTACAAATCTATAGGCAGCAATTAAGAAATAAGCAAATATTCCTGATTGATAAATTGTAGTGACAAGACATATCAGAAAACAAATCTGAATTTAAAACTTTAACAAAATGATATACAAAATACGTGACATCAGCAAGACGGCTGACTAAAGGTGCCTGGCACTTGTCCTCATGCACACAAAAAAGGACCAAAGCAACAAACAAAAAACTAAAATTTCACTAGAATGTCTGAGGGAGAGTGCTGGAGTGCAGCAAGGAAGTATTAGGGTCCCTGTAGAGCATGGGAGCTCAGGATGGCAGCATAGAGAGAGGAGTGTGATCAAGGCACCCAGCCTCTGCTGCTCCATCTCCCCTGAGAGGTTCAGCTTGGAGCCAGGAGGTACTTCCCCTTGCAATTGCTGCTGCAGACACCGACATTCCTTACTACAGGAGAATCCCATAGTCTAATGAGTTCTCACAGTGTTGTGTCTGGATTAGAAGCAGCAGCATCACCTGGGAGCTTACTCAAAATGCAGATCCTAGGCTCCGCCTCAAATGCACCAAACACCCTTTCATGTAATCCCAATGTTTACTAAAGTCTGAGAACCACCACTTTTCTATATCATTAATTCTTAGGAAACTTTTCAAAGAGTAATGTTTGGCTATATATTAATCCATGCATTAAAGGGCTTTTCTAAGCATGGTGGATATTACCATGTTGCTTATTTATTTGTTTGATTGGTTAGGTAAACTTTGTATTTAAGTAAAATCTATGTAAAGGAAAAGAGCACAGATTAAATTTTACACTGTGAACACATCTGCATAATCACTACCCTGATTAAGATATAGAGCATTCTCATTAGCCCAGAAATTCTCCCATTGTTCCTTCTAAATACAATTACTCCCACAGATTAATATTCTGATTTTATCACAACCCCAAATGTTGAACTCTACAAATCATTTGCTTTGTGTAATTTTGTGTCTGCCTTATATTACTAAACAACATGTTTGTGAGCTGTATCCATGTTATGGCACATGCCAATGGTTCATTGCTTCATAGTACTACAATGCATTAACGTAACACAATTTGTTTATCCATTGCACCAATACTAGACATGAGAGTTATTTTCAGTTTGAGCTCTCATGAATAATAAAGCTATGAACACTTTTATATGTATTTTTGGTGTATTTGTTTATTTAGTGTCCAGATAACTTTTGTCTTAGTTTGAGTTCTCTCAGAAACAGACCTCAAGAAAAGAATGTGAGTATAAATAGTTTAAACGGGCGGTAATCCCGGGAAGCCCTGGTAGAGGTTGAAAAGTGAGGAGTGAAGAAGAAAGTCAATAAAGATTGCATCATCAACCGGTAACTACTTTGGGTAGCAAGTAGTTGCTACACAAATGACTCCAAGTTATCCCAATTAGAGGGGAAAAGCCATGAAAATTATCTACCAATTCCTGTCAATTCAGCCATTGTTGATGATGTTCCTAGAACACTCAATTTATCAGCAATTCTGGCATAAATAATATGTTTACAGGGAATGTTTTAGGCAGATAAATAATGTAGAAAAAAGTCACAGGTATGAAGTTAAGAAAATCATCAGTTTAGAGTAAATGGAAATGGCGAATTTTTAAGGGAAATTGGTGGGGCACCAAGAATTTCTAATACAGGCATGTACTCTGAGGTGCAGCTGCTGGCTTATCAGACACATATGGGTTCAGCTTTAGTAAACATTGCTAAAGAGTTCTCCAAAATGGAATTATCCATTTCCATTTCCACCAGTATGAGAGTTTTAGTTATTCTACATTCCTGCCAACATTTATATTGTCAGATTTTTATATTTTTATTACCATAACGATTTTTAGACATTCTGATTTATATGTGCCATTGTAACTTTGAATTTCCTTGATGAATATTGAAGTTAAGGATCTTTTCATATATGAATTCATCATTTAGATATTCTTTTGTGAAGTATCCTATGTTACTATCTGAAGATGTTTTATTTTACCTTTCATATTTTGGTTATTATCCATCAGGAATTGATTCTGTGTAGTTCAAAGTAGAGAATAAAATTTGTGGGCAGGGCATGGTGGCTCATGCCTGTAATTCTAGCACTTTGGGAGGCCGAGGTGGGTGGATCACTTGAGGCCAGGAGGTTGAGACTAGCCTGGCCAACAGAGTGAAACCTCGTCTCTACTAAAAATACAAAAATTAGCTGGGTGTGGTAGTGCACTTCTGGAATCCAAGCAACTCAGGAGGCCAAGGTGGAAGAATCATTTGAACCCAGGAGGTGGAGGCTGCAGATTGCACCACTGCACTCCAGCCTGGACAACACAGCAAGACTCTGTCTCCAAAAAACAAACTAATGCTTTTTCCTACATTGATATGCAATTGATTGAATACCATATATTGAGACGATTATAATTTCCTTCAATGCGTTGTACAGACATTTTTATTGTAAAATAGTTGACTCATTGTTAATTTTTATTCATTGGTTTTACATAACATATTTATGTGTGGCATTTTATTGTATTTAACTTGCTTGGTTTTCTTAAAACTCATTGAACACATGGCATGACATCTTTTTGGCTTGAAAATTACCATTATTTTCTCCTCAAATATTGCTTTTCTTCATTGTCTTTTTCTTCTCTTCAAGGTCTCTAGTTACAAGTATGTTATCATTTCCCCATCTTGTCCTACATATTCTTAAGCTCTTTTATACATTTTTCAACTCCCATCTTTTCTAGATTTTACTCTCTCTCCACTATTTTACACTTTATACTGTCAACTATTTCACTAATTTCTCCAATTCAGTTATCTGCTTTTATAAGATATATCCTCACAATTTATGTCCAGCATCATCTTAAGTATATTTCAATAATAATTTTAAAGTGATTATTACAAAGCATTCAAAGAAAACATTTTTTTGCCTCCTATAGCTGGGAGTGCTGGCGCATATCTGCAGTCCCAGCCACTTAGGAGGGTGATGCAGGAGGATCACTTGAGTCCAGGGATTTAAGGACAGCCTGAACAATGCGGTGAAACTGTCTCTGAAATAAAATAGTTGTGTTAGTCTGTTTTCAAACTGCTATAAAGAACTACCAGAACTGGGTAATTTTAAGAAGAAAAGAGGTTTAATTGACTCACAATTCTACATGGGTGGGGAGGCCTCAGGAAACTTAATGATCATGGCGGAAAGTGAAGTGGAAGCAAAGCACGTCTTACATGATGGCAGGAGAGAGAAAGGGGGAAGTGACACACTTTGAAACCATCAGATAACATGAGAACTCACTCACTTTCACGAGAACAGCATGAGTGAAACCGCCTCCGTGATCCAATTACCTCCCATCAGGCCCCTCCCTCGACATGTGGGATTACATTTCAAGATGAGATTCGGGTGAGGACACAGAGCCAAATTATATCATTAATATAGATAAATAAAATAATAGCCTCCTCTGTTTGCTATTTCTGTGTAATCATTTTACCCAAAATTTAGTGTCTTAAGACAACACTAATTTTACGGGCAACAAAAGTAAAAACATATAAATTGGACTATACAGAGCAAAACTGAAAACTTTGCACATCAATGGATACAATTAACAGAGTGAAAGACACCTGTGGAATAAGAGAAAATATTTTCAAATTATAGATCTGATAAGGAAGTAATAACAAGAATACATTTAAAAAAACTCTTACAACACAACAGCAGCAACAACAACAAAACCTGAATAACAAATGGACAAAAAAACTTGAAAAGACATTTCTCTAAAGAGGATATATAAATAGCCAACAGACATTTGAAAAGATGCTTAACGTCACAAATCATCAGAGAAAAGCAAATCAAAACCATAATGAGATATCACCTTATACCCAGCAGGATGGATCTTATCAAGAAAACAAAAATTAACAGGTGTTGATGAGGAAGTACATTAACTGAATCCTTGTTCACTGTTGGTGGAAATTTAAAATGGTGTAGCTTCTATGGAAAACAGTACGGCAGTTCCTTAAAAAATTAAAAAAAAATAATTACCATATGATCCGACAATTTCTTTTCTGGGTTTATATCTCAAAGATTGAAGGCAGGGTCTCAAAAAATATCTGTATACTTATGTTCATGGCAATACTGTTCACAATAACCCAAAGGTGGAAGCAACCCAAATGTTCATTGGCAAAGGAAGGGGTAAGGAAAATGTGGTATACACAGTCAATAATGTATTATTCAGCGTTCACATGGAAGTGAATTCTGACACATAGTACAACATGGAGAACCTTGAGGACATTATGCTAAGTCAAACGAATCAGTCGCAAAAAGGCAAGTAGTTTCTGATTCCACTTACATGACCTATCTAGATTAGTAAAACTCACAGAAGCAGAAAGTATAAGGGTGGTTTCCAGAGAAGGGAGAGCTGAGTGCTGTTGTTTAATGGGTATGAAGTTTCAATTTTGCAATATGAAAAGGTTCTGGAGATTGGTTAGACAACAATGTGAATATAATTAACACTGCTGAACCATGCACTTAAAAATGGTTAATATGATAAATTTTATGTTATGCATATTTTACTACAATTACAAATTAAACACACACACACATACATACATACCTTTATTATCCCACACAGTGGTTGACGGTCAAGAATGCAGAAGCAGCTTAACTGAATGATTATGGCTTTGAGTCTCAAGAGTTTGCAGTCATGCTATAAGCTCAGACTTCAGTCATCCATAGGCTTGACTGGCGATGGAAAATCCATTTCAAAATGACTCACTCATGTGACTGTTGACAGGATACCTCAATTTCTCACTGACTATTGGTAGAAGGACTCAGTTTCTCACTACTTGATCTTTTCACAGGGCTGCGTGTACTCATGGCTTGGCACTGAATTCCTCTAGAACAAGAGAGTCGAGAGTGAGACAGAAGCTACAATGAAATTATAACACATCCTGGGAAGTGATCTAATATCACTGCTGTTGTGTTCTATTGTTCTAACACACCAACCCTCATATATTATGGGAGACGACTACACAGGGGTGAGAATACAAGGAGATGAGGATCCTTAGAATTCATCCTGGAGATCGGTTTCTATACCATCAAAAGCTCATTTTTATTTCTTTTTGTTATGAAATAATATATTGTGCTAATCCATTCATCAAAAATATTTATAAAATACAAAGAGCATGTTTGTTATGATTAGAAAGAAACCAAGGAAATCAAGACTTGAGGGGCCAGAATATCTGAAAGAATGGGAATGCTTGAGATGAAACCTACCTTTAATTGCTTTCTTCCTCAGAGTAGTTGCTGATCTGTGGTACTGAATTAGAGGACAAGAGAAAAGCAGTGACAGTTTTCCTGAGCTGAGGGAAAGAAAATTGAAGTTCAGGGTTATATGCTACACCAAGGGCCAATGTATGTTCTTTATTATAATCCCAAACATTGGAGCAGAGAGTAAGATTGTGGATGATGTCTTCAGTTACATATACCTTGTTATCAGGACTACATCACTTCTTTTCTTCCGGCATGTGATGAATATTGTTTGCATAAATTTTTGCAGTAGACTGGAAATGATTCTGAGGTTAGAAGGTGGAAGCTTATTAGTTGTAAAGGAAGGCAAAGTCCACATACTAACAATGATCCTCTTTCATTGTGGTGTTGGCCTTATTTTATGTATTATACTTCATTGGAGGCCTCAAATAGGTGAAATTGATACATGGAAGACTAAGGTAGCTCTGGTCCATACACCTTTTTTTTGTCTAAAATAAGTACAATTTTGGGCTATTTCATCAGGGCAACAGAAGTACATGGGTTTTCAGTAAATTTGAAGGTATATTTGATATGTTACTATTTATATTTTACATAGAATAATTGATGTAAAATTCACTTTAGAGGATCCTGATGTTACTCCAAAGAGACAGCTGGTTATATTTATAAAGCTATATACACAGTTATAAAAATTTACATAAAATATTTTAATAAATGTATAGCTGGTATGTATATTATTGTTTTTTATATATATCTTTATTTTAAATTTATTTTTGTTGTTTACTTACCATAAGCAGGCACTGTCAGCACTTTGTAGATATTACATCATTTATTCTCCAGAAAAATTCCTGTGTGCTAAATATATCACTCAAAGTGAGGCTTAACTACTAGGATGTATGAACAAAATATAGAAGTGTATCTCTCTCAAATGTACTAGGACTGGGTAAGTATATCAGATCAGCAGGTATTTTCCTTCCCCACAGCCATGCAGATACTGGATGCCTTCCATGTTCCCTACTCTATTTCCTAAGTTATTGTACCCATTTACATTGAAAAGTAGCTGCGTGAAAGTCCAGGTTTTTAGCTAGCTCAAAGGAAAGACACATACTGCAAAGAGAACATAGAGAGAGAATACTCAAAATTTTAAAGATTTTGGCATGGAAATGGCTCAGATCACTTTAACTCATATCCCAATGGGGAGAGCATAGTCAAATGATAATATCTAAATGCAAGGGAACCTGGGATTGCAGCCCAGAAACTTGTGAAAAACTAGCAATGTCTCCTAAATTAGGTGTGGCAGAGATGCTAGTTGTGTCCCAAAATATTCTTCTTTTTTGCTGTGGTAATAGGATCCTGATTTTTTTTTTTAAGAGCAGGAGTGGAAGTTTATTTAAAAGGGCTTTAGAACAGGAAGGAAAGGAAAATTTCCTTGGAAGAGACCCAAGCAGGTGCCTGAAGGTCCCACAGAGAGGGAAAGACAGCTGAAAATAAGGCAGATCTTGACTTTTTGAGTGGGTCTAAGTCCATCCAGAATGGACACCATATTTTCCAGCCTCCTGTGCAGCTAGGTACAGCCATGTAACTAGTGCTGGCCAATGAGACATGTTCTTTGTGACATATCACATATCATCTGTGTACCCTTTACCACTCCCTCTTTTTTCCTTCCTTTCTTCTTTCTTGCCTCTACATCAAAATTCTGCTTTCCTTAACTATGAAGTAAAGGCCACAAATGATAGAACAAGAAGATAAAAGGACTCTGATCCCTTGATGCATTAACCACCATATCAGTCCTCTTCCACTTGTTCAGTTTTGTTTTAGAAAAAGTATAAACGTCAATCTTGCTTAAGCCTCTGTTACTTTTGGGGTTTCTGTCACCAGCAGCTAAATATAATCCTAACCGATATAATTGGTATTACACTTCTTATGTAAATGACAGACTTAGGTCCAGAGAGGTAAATGATCTCAATTTAGGATATATAAACCCAAGAGAGTGTTGCTCCAAATTCCATGCCTTTCCCCGCTGATCTATTCAGGCAAGATGCAAATAAAAACAAGTAAAAATCTCTTTTGGTAACAATGGGAATATATGCATGGCTCTTGGTGGGAGAATTTAAACAAATTGTTTACTCAAGTCACTGTATGCTGAAACAATTTATGACATTCTATTATGGCAGTGCTAGCTTTCCCGTCCTTAGCAAATCTCATCCAGCTAGCTCAAAGGAAGAGATAAAGAAGAAAGTTAGATCTTTTGAGCTAAATGAAACAGCAGATAAAAGCAAACAGGGAAATGCCATCAGTTTAGAAAATAAACAACGTATTTATCCTAGTCTGTGCCTTGAATGCCTTAGGAGGGAAGTATACAAATTGAGTGTCTTCCCCCTCTATTTTCTTTGTTGACAATAGATGTTGTGAACATTAAATCTGTCAGAGTGCTTGTGGGGAGATAGGTCAGCTGATCCTTTCCAATGACTGACATCCTTGAGTTTCAGAGAATTGACTAATTTAGAGATGATCCAGTCTTTTGACCTTCAGGCTGTCATAGAGACAGTCATAGAGTTTGCAGAGGTTACAAGTTGCTGACTGAGTCTGATTTTTTTTCCCCCTTAAGAACTGGAGTTGTGCAATAGATAATGGGGGAAAAATGAAAGTTTAAGCTGCAGTAAAAGACTTTTCTCCTAATAATAACATTAATATTCCTAATGTGTTCTGAAATGCACATTAGGTATGTAGTTACCATTGTGCTGTGTTATAAAATACTCTCTGTTAGAAAATAAAAAGATACTATGACAGGAATTCACTTCGGGAGTGTAGAAAAAGCATAGAAAGATGAAGATATGCGTTCCAGATCCAGTTCTGCTACTAAATCACCAGGTGTCCTTGGGGAAGGAAATCGTCTGAACTTTCTGAATCTCATTTTCCACATCTATAAAATAAGAGCTAAACAACTTTTCAGGGGTCTTTCAACTGTAAAATTAAAAGGAGGAAAATCTGGGATTCTATTATCTCAATTTTAATATGAACTCTTTATTGTGCTAATTTCTGAGAGCAGGAATAACTCTCAATAGAACTACTTTTATCAGTATTTTACCATATGGAGTTGTTTTTGTTTGAGGGGACATGATTTTACACTCATTTTTCTCAATTTCTATAACACCAAGCTAAGTAATAATGACCAGAATGGATTATCATAATATCTGCTAAAAGAAGTTTTCTGTATTTTTTAAGAAATTGAAAATTATTTATTAGGTAGGTAATAATCATAAATAATAATTGTTACATTTAATATCATATTATAATAATTATTTAAAATTAATAAGTAATAACTAAATTACTTATTTGTAATCATTTGCTTAAACCTTGGCTATCATATAATTCTGTGTAAACACTAGGAATAATTAGAGATAGTGTATAATTTTTAAAATGCTTGTGTTTAAGCATGCATTTGTAACTTTTCTCTATTGTAATTTTGTTGTAAATGATTACTATTATTTAGAATCTAAATCATGTTGATAAAAGAAGCAAAATAGCAGCATTGTAATATATAGGACACCTACAGTTTCTAGGAATGCACTTTCATTTCGTGACTGTTCTTCTTTCTGATTCTGTAAACAAAGAGGGGAAATAGAAACATTCTCCAAATCTCCCAGGGCCCTGTGACCATGAAGTTTAGTTTATTAATCTCTATCTTTCTCTTTTTCTCTCTCTGTACTATATATGTAGTTTATTCTACATGTATAAAATTATTGAGAATAATTTCACCAAAACAAATGTTTCCATCACTCAGATTGCAGATATTTGTTTTCTTTTTTATTCTACATTTTAGGTCTCTTTTCATGTTATCTGTCAGAATCTTACTGATAAAGCTGAAGCCTCCTTTAACTCCTTATGTATCTAATTCCCTTCCCTATCTCCTGAACATAAATCCTATCCTAAAAATGTTACAAATTCCTCACACTTACAAACGATATATACACTAGCTCTTTATTTTTTTTCATTAACATTGTCTGTCTGGATATATCCTTCTAATTATTATTGTCTAATGGTAGAGGCTAAGGATTTTGCTGAACATCCCATACACCACAGGACAGCCTCCAAAACAAGGAATTATTAGTGTCAAAATACCCGTAAATACTGCTAAGGTTGAGAAACCCCTATTTCCCAAAGTAAATATTTTAATTTTATCTTATTAATTTAATTGAAATCCTAAGTATGTATTGCTAGAGAGAGAAAAGCAGACACTTCACATTGACTTACTTCCTCCAAGTGGAGAAACACAGTACCTCTAACTTGTGAAAGAAAAAAAACTATATGAAAGCATTATTGACGAATGCCTCTCCATATATATTGTAGAGAACATCCTAATCATTGAAGTATAAAAAAATTTCCACTCTCTTGCTTTTAGCAAGAAAAATTGGCATTTCATATTTAACTTGTTATAAGTATCCATTTAAACTTAACAATCAAACTGTGTCAATCACTCAACCACTAGAAATAAAATAGGTCCTTCTTAATACTGTGCTTTTTTTCCACATTGTAACGTGGATGTATAAGAAACTAGACACTAATTTAGAAAAAAAAAAAACTTGTTAGTTTAACTACTCAAACACTTTATTGATTGATTGATTGATTGATTGATACGGAGTCTTGCTCTGCTGCCCAGGCAGGAGTGCAGTAGCGTGATCTCCGCTCACTGCAAGCTCCGCCTCCCGGGTTCACACCATTCTCCTGCGTCAGCTTCCCCAGTAGCTGGGATACAGGCGCCCGCCATCACACTCAGCTAATTTTTTTGTATTTTAATAGAGACTGGGTTTCACCATGTTGGCCAGGATGGTCTCGATTTCCTGACCACGTGATCTGCCCGCCTCGGCCTCCCAAAGTGCTGGGATTACGGGTGTGAGCCACCGCGCACGGGGCCTCAAACACATTTAAATTTACCAAGTTTATGTGTACGATTCAATGATTTTTAGTAAATTTACTAAGTTGTGCAATCATCAGCATAATCTAGTTTTAGAATAGTTCCATCATCCCAGTAAGATCACTCATATTTATTGGCAATTATTCCCTATGCCCTCTGCCTGTCAGCCCCAGACAACTGCTTAGCCTACTTTCTGTCCCTATGGATTTACAATTTTTTAGACATTCGTCATAAGTGACACCATACAATATGTAGTCTTCGTGTCTGGCATCTTTTTCGAATACATTTTACATATTTTTCACAGGGAACTGCAGAAATCTGCTTTTATGATTTTGGTACAAGTTTTTGGTAGAAGACATTAAGTTTTAGGGTGGGGCTTTTAACTGTGAAGGTTTAATATACTGAGCTGGAATGGAGATCACTGAATAATAACTACAAGCTACACGTTGAAATTATTTGAGAGCATGTTCTCATTTTGTAGATATGTTTTCTAGAAAACTTTTTATTTTCTATTGTTTTTATGTTTTCATTATTGTCTTGTTAAAAGTGTTATGCAACCTAAACTCATTCAATGCCCAAGTTGAATACTCATAATAAGATATGAGTATGTCTTACGCCTTGGCTGTTAAGCAAAGAAGCATATTTTCAATACACTCACATTTTTTTCAGTATATTTCAAAACATTCATTTATTGTGAGGACATCTCAAAATATTAATCCTTTCTAAAGTCATACAGAGGGGAAAACATGAAGGAATATACCTCTTCCTAGAAATAACATCACGTACAGATGTTAGAATACTCTGGTGTTGGACAAAGTATATATTATTTATATTTGTTTTGTTTCAAGTTTAGTTTAGCATGATTATTACTGCCATTTTTCCTAGATTAAAATAAATATCGCATCACCAAAACAAAGTTGAAATACACCAAAACATAAAGAATATATACAATCTTACGTAGCATAAGAGATCCTCTTCTCTTTTGCAAAAATATTTTCAGGCATCTGAAAAGAAAACGTCAAAGATGGTCACCCTTGAAGGAAGTTGAGTTTTAAAATCTGTTGTAAAAATCTTCCTATTTTAACTTATTCTTAAGACAAAAACCATATAATTTTGTTCTGCTATTGAGCATACTAATTCATAGAGAATTTCAAGAATTTTTTTAAATGGAGACATTGTATAGTATTGGACTAATACATTTTTACTGATCCTTTTTGTTTTCTTAATTAATTTATAATTTATATGCAACAAGATGTAGAGATATTAAGTGATAAGTTTAATGAGCTGAGGCAATTGCTTATACAGCTGTAATCCACATAGAAACCAACATCCACAAGAATCTCAGCACCCCAGAAAGTTCTCCCATGTCCCCTTTTTTGCTCCCTTCTCCTCTACCCAAAAGGCAACTAATCTTTGATGTCAATAACCATAGATGAGTTTTTCTTGTTTTGGAACTTCATACAAATGAAACAATACAGTATTTACTCCTTTATCACAGGTTACTTTCACTCTATATAATTAAATGTTTCTCAAATTTTATGTAATTTGTGTATTTATATATACATTCATATACAGTTTTTGCTATTTTGATTCTTTATATTAAGTAGTATAAACACATAAAAATTTGTTTATTGATTATTAGTTGGTGGGCATTTGGGTTATTTCAAGGCATAGTTATTATGAATAAAGTTATGATGAATATTTTTGTATATGTCTGTGGATATCTATTTTCAATCCTCTTAGATAAATACCAAGGAGTGGAATTTGGGTCACAGTTCACAAAATGATTACAACAATGTAAACATCCATTGCCAATATATGAAAGTATCAGTTGCTATACATCCTGTCAATATTTAAAACTGGTACTGTTTTTTAAATTTTAGCCATCCATATGAGTATGAAATACGACCTAATTGAGGACTAAATTATTACTTCTCTAATGAAAAAATATGTTTTCTGTTGTAGACAGTCCAACCAGTCAAAACCATTGCCCTCTTTCCCTTTTCAAAAATGTTTTGTCCTTTTTATTGTTGACTTTTAAGGGGCTTTTAAATGTAGAAATATGTATTTTTTCCAGTGTGTGGTTTTCCTGTTCATTTTGTTAAATACATGTCATGACAAAATTTTTCAATTTTGTTGAA
The DNA here is from genome assembly GCF_000001405.40 of Homo sapiens. Taxonomy (NCBI): domain Eukaryota; kingdom Metazoa; phylum Chordata; class Mammalia; order Primates; family Hominidae; genus Homo; species Homo sapiens. Next base: position 37,479,506 of record NC_000011.10, read on the forward strand.
ACCCAGTTTGTCATTTTTTGCTTTCATGATTACTGCTTTTTTCTGACTTATCTAAGCAAGTTTTGTCTCAATCAAGAATTAATGATATTCTTCTATATTTTCTTTCAAATGCTTTACACTTTTGTTTTACATTGAGGTCTATCATTCATCACAAACTAATTTTTATGTATAAAATGAGATAAGGCTGAAGGTTTATTTTTCCCTAATTTTCAAATCCAACTATTCCATCTCCATTTATTTTTTTGCGAAGCCTTCCTGATATTTTCCATAATTACATCCCCTCCAATAATGGAGTAGAAGGGCTTTCACCAGCCTCCATAACATTTAGAGAGCCTTCTCTGAATGCTGTTTCCACAATATATCACCAAAGAATAATTTAATGAAGTTGTAGCATTTTCTGTAATTGATATATGTTAAAGTGATTAAGCACTACTAACCTCTAACCAGATTTTTCAAGGAGTAGCATATTGGGTTATTATATATAAAGGAGTCATGTATTTCTGTGGCATAATTTCTGTTTCACGTAATTAAAAAATCAATTATGTTGACCTCATACCTTATCATTCTCTAACATTCTTTTTGCCTATACCTATTTCTAGTAACAATCTTGAAAGAGTTATGTGCCCTTTGTCTTTATTATCAGTTATCCCATTCTAAATATGTTTCATACCCAGCACTCTACAATGCATACTTTTCACTTACCTGTATGTGGCCAAACCACTGATCACATTAATTTCCTTATTTTTTTGACCTTTCTGAAGCACTCAAAATAGATGACCTTTTTTTTCCCCCCATTAAAAACATGAGATTCAGAGATGGAAGTTATAGTTTAGGAAGATGAAAAAAAAAGACAAAACTGGGTTAAAACCAACAGTATGAACAAGGAAGATGCATTAGCATATCTCTCTTTAGCCTCCCCACACTGGGACAGTTGGTCCAAAGGAAATGTGCACAGCTCAAGCGGTGGATATGGAACTTGAGCTGACTGCAGAGGAATTAGGGAAAACCAACATTTTAGTTCGTGCAAGGTGATAAATGAAATGTTCTGAAAACTGGTTGAAGATATAAGGCAAGTTTAAGATGACAGATACAGCATATCAACTGAAATAATTCTGGTAAGTCATCTAAAATTTTGTGCTTTTATTTCTCATTCTACAAAATGAAGATAATAATCACTTACTTTTTTCCTCATGGATTTATTTTGTGGGGAGGGCCCTTGAGCTAATGGATATGAAGGTATTTTGTAAATTTTTTAGCAGTATACAATTATAGGTGTTAATACTAACTTATTAGTGTAATTTAATTAACATGCTACAGATATGATTTCTAGATTTTCAAATTTTATAAGCCAGAATGTATGCATGTATGTTTGTATGTGTGTGTATTAATTTGCTACTGACATACATTCATTAAGTTATTATTTTTCAGGTTAAAAAGATTTACTTATGATCTCTAAAATTTTTTGAAAAGTAAAAATTGTGAAAAGGACATGAAGGACAGTCTTAAAACTGAATACATTTAGTTTTATAAAAAACTCCTTACATTTTCATATTTTTCCCCATTCTTCTCCGACGAGTGAAGTCTTCATTATGGAGCATGAGATGAAAAATCAATGTTTAGAAACTACTGATTTAGAAGCTGCCTTTCAGAGGTATAAAATTTTTATTGCTTCAGGTAATAAAATCACAGAAGATGTTTTGTAAATTCAGAAAACACTGAAAAGTATCTTAGTCATGACCTCTTGAATGCCATACACACTAAAAGTTGAATGCAGCCCTGCTATAAAATTATGACTTTGAATACTGGTTTGTTTGGTCAATTGAAATACTGTGAAAATATTCCTAGTATCAAAACATATACTTCTGCTTCTATAGCAAATAAAATAAAAGAAAAATCTGCTAAGATTTATTAGGCTGGTGCAAAAGTAATTGCAGTTTTTTTTTGCCATTTTTTTAATGGCAAGAAACACAATTACTTTTGCGTCAGCCTAATACATTTGGCTGTGTACCTGACTTGTCCAGTAAATTATGAGCTTTTGGGAAAACAGGACCATAGCAATTAGGACATTGCTTTTTTATTTTGTAAATACATATTAGCTCTGATAAGTGTTATGAGTCCAACATAACATTTAGGATCAAGTATAGATAATTTAAAACGGTATGGTAAGCTGAATAATGGGCCCCCAAATATATCCACATAATAATCTCTGGAATTTGGGAATGTTACCCTGTGTGGTACAAGGGACTTAGCAGATTTGATTAAATTAAGGATATTGAGATGAAGAGATGCTCCCAGATTTTAGAGGTGGGCCCAATGTAATCACAATGATCCTCACAGAAAAATGCAGGAGAAGTCAGAGGAGAAGGCAATGTTATGATGGAAGCCATAATTGGAATGATGCAATTTGAAGATGGAGGAAGACGTCAGGAACCAAAGGATACAGGTGACCATTAGAAATAGGCAAGAAGGCCGAGCGCGGTGGTTCACGGTGGTTCACGCCTGTAATCCCAGCACTTTGGGAGGCGGAGGCGGGTGGATCATGAGGTCAGGAGATCAAGACCATCCTGATCAACATGGTGAAACCCCGTCTCTACTAAAATAACAAAAATGAGCCTGGCGTGGTGGTGTGTGCCTGTAGTCCCAGGTGCTCAGGAGGCTGAGGCAGGAGAATCGCTTGAACCCAGGAGGCGGAGGTTGCAGTGAGCACAACTGCACTCCAGCCTGTGTGACAGAGCAAGACTCTATCTCAAAAAAAAAAAAAAAAAAAAAAAAAAAAAGAAAGAAAGAAAAGAAATAAGCAAGAAAAATGAGTTTTCTCTGCAAAGCCTCAAAAGGAATCCCTGTCAACTCCATGACTTTGGCCCAATGAAAATAACTGTAGACCTCTGACCTCCACAACCATAAGAGGATATTTTGTGTTGTTTTACATCACTATGTTGTGACAGTTTATTATTGTAGCAATAGGAAACTAGGACAAGTAGTAAGTAGTATTCAACCTCTTTTAAAATTAAAGCCTAGGCTACTTGCAAATGAAGACACAATTGGAATCTGTGGCATTCTTCTGTACACACCAAGCATTACAGAACATTTAAAAGCCAGCTTCTACTACAGGGCTATAGCTCAGGGATTAATAAGGAATGCTTTTCTATTCACCTTCTTGGTTTATTATTATTTTCAATTTCCTGGAAGACGTTGTATCCTATTAAAGGTTTAAATGTATAAGATATGTTTAAATGCACCAAATAGGTTTATAATAGAAAGTTCTTACAATCAGACTGCGATGATCTGAATGTCTATGTCCTCCGAAAATTCATATGTTGAAAGCCTACCTTCCAAAGTTATGGTATTATGTGGAGCCTTTGGTAGGTGAATACTTCACGAGGTCAGAGATGATGTGAGTGAGAATGGAGCCCAAGAAAAAAAACAGACCAAGAAAAAGACCCCTTGCCCTTTCCACACTGTGAGGTTACAGTGAAAAGATGGCCTACCAGGAAGTGGACTATCACCAGATACCAAATTTGCTTGAACTTCCCAGCCTCCATAACTGTGACACAAATTTCTGTTGTTTAGAAGCCACCCAGTTTATGGTATTTTGTTATAGCATCATGAAACGGCAAAGACTAAAAATGGAAAGCCCAATAGAATGAAAAGGTGGAGGAAAGGCAATTTTTTTTTCTCCGTGTTTAAGCTGGGACATCCATCTTCTCCTGACCTTGGATATCAGTGCTCTACCAGGCTGAGACTTACACCATGGCCCATCCCTTGCTCTCATGCCCCACCTTTCAATCCCCCTTCTCGGACCTTCAGACATTGGCTTTCCTGGTTCTCCAGCTTGCAAAACTAGCTTGCAATCACAATGCAATTAAGTGCATTGTTTTCAAGAGAAAGAAACTTTGTATTAGTAGGTCAAAGAAAATTTGGCTGGGCATGGTGGCTCATGCCTGTAATCTCAGCACTTTGGGAGTCTGAGGCAGGTAACCTGACAAATATAGTGAAACCTCATCTCTACTAAAAATACAAAAATTAGCCAGGTGTGGTGGCATGCACCTGTAGTCCCAGCTACTCAGGAGGCCGAGACAGGAGAATTGCTTGAACCCAGGAGGCAGAGGTTACAGTGAGCCGAGATCATGCCGCTTCACTGCAGCCTGGGTGACAGAGTGAGACTCTGTCTCAAAAAAGAAAAAAAAAAAGAAAGAAAGAAAATTAATTGGAAGGATATGATGTGGCTCACAAGGTTTAAATAAAATACTAAAGTGCTATCTTTGGGTAGACCAGGTCAAACCAGGTGCATAAGCTAAATGTTTATCTCTTTAGGAGATAAGTCAGCTCTGGGGTATTTAAAACAAAAGCAATGATATTTCTCATTAAATTTGACATTCAGGTTTCTAAACTCAAGAGTAATACAGAGAGCATAATTTAACTAGCTTGAGCCATATGCTTTCTCTTCAGTTAGCAGAAAGCTGGATACTTTGATTGATGGACCCAGGAAACGCAAAGCACAGTGATGGAGGAGTAATTCTTCAAACAGAACTGGAAAGTGTTCTTACTAGAAGAAAATGAGAATGAATGCTCAGCAGTCAAGAAAAGTAAGTCCATAAATAAATAAACACACATGCATGCATACAAAATACTATTGTCAGTGCTATGGCAACCTCCCCTCTTTCTTAAGAGTGATCAGTTACACAATTATACACTTATATTTTATAGATATCAGTTCATAGTTCTTCAGCATAGGGC